>NC_000004.12:116194108-116345623 GCF_000001405.40 Homo sapiens | reverse complement strand
CTTTCCTCTTGCCTATGTTAATACACTTAGTATTCAGTGGACCTTGGTGATATGAGTTTTATGTGCATACATCAATGACACTTCCAAATTATATTGAAGAATTAGCCTACTTAGCATATAGATCAATTCTTATTGTGAGGTTATATACTGAAACAGAGTAGACTATGTTTATTTTACATAAGTAATGTTTTTTCCTTTTACGTAAGTATATGATTTCTGAAGAACTCTTGTTGAAGGACCTGTTGGTTTACACAACTACAGTAGAACCCAGTGAAAATACATTTATGATTTCCATGGAAAAATTCCTCAACAATCAATCTCTTGAAAGCAGTTTCTACATAATAAATATATACTGATCTTTCTGAATATTTTAGAGTAATGGATTCTTTTTACAGATACATGAGGAGACATTCTCTTCAGATACAGAGTTTATTTTCCAAAAATTTTCCTGTGAACTTGCTGATGGCTCCCATATTTTTTTAAGTTTGAGGATTCTAGGTTAAGATCCATTTCTGCAGAAGGATTATAATGAGGTTAGTAAATGTGGGAAAAGCTGTCAGAAATGTTCCTAAATAATACATATTTATTAAAAGCCTTCTGAAATAAAAAAAAAATGATACTAAGTGTGGAGTTGAAAAGAAGTACAACTCACGATTTGTCTGAGAGAATTTTAAATTTCCATCAGGGATTTTTATACAATTTAACAAAACCAAAACAATGTGATTAATGATTTTTAAAAATAAGATCAAAATATGGGAACATAGTGGAGGACAGTCAGATCAAAGTAAAGGTTAAAGAAGGCCTTCAAGTGGATGTAGTATTTAAACTGGATTTGAGAAATATAAGAATACATAAAGTAGTTTAAGAAGTCTTGTATATTTTGTCCAATTCAAGGGGAAATAACACATGTAAAAGTCTAAAGAAAAGAAACAATTTGTTGAAAAAGAAATTCAATTAGACTGTAGGAAAAAAGTAATTAAATGGAGAAAAGGCAGTAGGTAAGACTAGAGATTAGAAGCCGGCAAAGTTATGAGAGATATTTTGCACTTTGATTTTTGAAATTAAGACTTTGTCTTCAGTAGACAGAGGAGACCTAAAATCAAAGATATAAAATATGTTAAATTCCTTTTTGGTGGCCAAAATGTCATTTATTTTCATGTTGATATAAGACAGGTTTAAGAATGTTTTTTAAATATTGTTACATTTATTCTTATAAATAATTATCTTAACCTCAAAAACAATAAAAGACAAAAAATAAAAAATATATAATCTAAAAATAGTTAAAAATTTGTGTCAACTATGATATTAAAATAGACTTTCACACTGAATTTTTAGTAAAAGCAAACAATAGATGCATCCTATAATAGGCCATTGAGAAGAGAGACACAGCAAGATTACAAATTGACTGTTAAATATAGCAGGCAACCACATGCAAAAAATAACATGACATTTAAAATACATAGCAAAAAATTGGCTAGGCTCACACCTGTAGTCCCACCACTTTGGGAGGCTGAAGAGGGCAGATCACTTGAGGCCAGAAGTTTGAGACCAGGCTGGCCAACATGAGGAAACTTGGTCTCTGCTAAAAATACAAAAATTAGCCAGTCATTGTGGCATGAGCCTGAAATTCCAACTACTCAGGAAACAGTTTGCAGTGAGCTGAGATCACGCCACTGCACTCCAGCCTGGGCGTAACAGAGTAAGATTCTGTCTGGGGAAAAAAAAAAAAAGGTAGAAAAAGTAAGTTAAAGTATGTAGTGAAATTAAAGTATTTTCAGAGTTTGAAATTATGACATTAAAACTATGCTATCAATATCATGTCTTTTAAATTATTCAATAAATATAAAGAAGAATCCAGTTTTTGTTCTAGTTTATTTATTCATCTTCTGGAGGTAGATGTTTACTGTGGATGCTTCTCTTGGTTTCTTTAAGAAAAAATAATTTAAATATGTTTTAAGAGTACTTGAAACCTCAAATACGTTGTTTCTTTTATATCTAAATAAAAATGTGGACTATTTAATTCAAGTGTATTTTGAAATTATTCTAAATCATAAAAAAGAAAAACAAATTATTTGCTATGAATCTACTATATGATTTGAATTTTTTTTAAAAGGTCGAGGTTTTGCAAAAAAATACTAAGAATCAATTGCATTAAGTTATATTTATATGATATCCAAATAAAATATTAGAAACACAACCTAACCTCACATTTAAAGAATAATAAATGTATAAAAGCTAGGACTCCACATTAACGGCTAAGAAAAAAAAATTGTATAGTCACTTCTGCATTTGGTGAAAATCATGTGATAGTTCATGTGAATTGAATTTAAAAGACTATATAATAAAGGAATTAAACTACATTCACTCAACATTCTAAAAATGTTACATAAAATATATGTGATATGATAAATATATAAAAGTATATATTTGTAGATGTATACAAAATGATTGAACAGTAGAAACATTTTCTATAAAGTCAGCAATAAGACAAGCATTTAACTACTTTTCTCAAATATTTTCTGGAAGTACTACCTAATTTATTTAGAAAAGAGAAAGAAAACAGTTTTATTAGAATGAGAAAAATAGATGAAAAAATCATAAATATGCATAGAAAATATGATGGCAATCTTAGAAAATTAAAGATAATTAAATGCATCCAAATAATTTTACACAAAAAACTTCAATCGTAATATACACGCATCAAAATACCTAAAATACAGAGGCAAATAATATTGAGTGTTCTCACGATTGTGAAAAAATTGAAACTTCCATATACTGCTGATGTAATTGTAAGTTAATGCACCTACTTTGGAAAGTTATTTGGCAGTATCTACAAAAGATAAACAAATGCATAAAAAATTCCCAGCACTTCTAATTCTAGGTAAATACCCAACAAAAAGTTTTATGTATGTTAATTGAATGCAATGCCAAAGGACAAAATTTCAACAAATTAATTTTAATGATTGAATTGGCTTTTATTAGTGATCCATGAAGCAGACAGCATTCCATCTAGAAAGAGAGAGGTACCTTGCTGGGCATGACAGAACAGTTGATTTTGTAAGGTAACTTGAGCACAAACAAGGAAACAGTAATAAAAAATGTGTATTTGTTAACCTCATGTTACTTCAGGTTACTTTCCTTGTAAGAGTTAAGGCAGAGAGGATTTCAAGTCATGCTGGCTTAGGTTGACTGGGCCCTTTCATATTGGTTGATGTGAATCTCCTGTTTTTAGGACGCTTTGGGATTTTCCTGCTTCTTTAAAATTTCAGTTTGATTACATGGCACTTAGCATGAGTGACTCCATTTTGTTTTGATCTATTGGGGCCTAGTGCAGGAGCTTAGTCCAAAACAATGCCTCCAATGAATTTTATTTAACAACAGGTACGAGGACTTGGTAGCAGTAATATTCATAAATAAAACCTAGAAATAGCCCACATAGGAATAGCAGAATTTATACTTAGGGAAATATATTATGTTGAAGATTTGTTAGAGAATGGTAAGGAAAATTATACATTCCTAAAATGTATTGGTGTTTGCTATTTGCTAGTGTCAAGAAACACTGAAAAACTCTGAATGGACAATGATTATGGGTATCCTGTCTAACACACCCTGCCAGGTTATCTCTGCATTTTATTGTCACTGAGTTACTTACAACCTGTAAGTAGTAGAACACATACTAATAAAAATGATCTTGTTCATAGAAATGCAAATTATGTCAATTGTAATTTAATTGCCTATTGCCCTGTATATTTGACAGTTTTGATTCTATTTATAAATTTATGTCATTATTCTTTTTTTTCGTCGATGGATGCTTGACACTCTGGATTCTTCTGTGAACATAGTTGTAACATCTCATTGTTTCTTCCAATAATTAATGAATGAAATAAAATCATTAATAAGTGTTTATTTTATATTTACATGAGGGCAAAAATTTTATCTTTTTTACTTTTTAACATTACACTTTTTGAATAATAATATGTCTCAACCCTAAAATACTTTGTGATACTTTAGTTTAAAAATGGTTTGGTTATATCAGAAACTATTTATTATTTCAGTGTTCCCATTGAAAGAGTGGTTGTTTTGGCTTAAATTTTAATAAAGATATATTCTAGAGTATGATAATAGAGAGAACACTATATGTGCAGTGCATACTCTGAAACATCCATAACGTAACCAAAGAAAAATATTTTTACAAAGAGCTACAGGATATGATCCTAGTTCTTTCAAAAGACTTAACAAGCTTACATATAGATTATATATCTTATAGAAATACATGTTGTAAAATCTGTCGGTCTTTGCTGGAATAAGATATCAGAATTATATCAACAAACAGATACTTTTGAAAAACAAACAGAGGCATTTATACAGTTCCTTCACAGTAAAAGCAACTGCTTCTGAGACGAAATTTGTTTTGTGAAACCATAAGTCTGAAACAGTTATTTGGAAAAGTTTCTGGCACCTAAAAGAAATTCATGCATTCCTAAAGCTTCAGCTTGCTAAGAACTGACAGAAAATTAACTTTTAATTCGTAATTTACCCAGGACTGTGTTTGGGCTGTTTCCAGGAATTTTCACATGGCAGATCTCTAGAAGATGTGGGAAGAGTCTGAAGGAATCACATAGGGTCTTCATATTTATCAGGAGGTGTGATGAGCAACAACATGCCTTAAAGTGCCAATAATATTTGCCCCTCAGATTCCAGGTGCTCTGATCTGGTGCCCATCTTGTATCAGCTAAATTTCTGCACTCTTTATCTAATGGGAAGATACTTGTATCCCTTACCTCAGTTCCTTGTCTTCTGTCAATCACATACTGATTCTGCACCAATACGGCAAAATTTCTCACCTACAGAAACACTCATGACACTTTTACACGACTTGGAAAAGGAGTATTACAACATTTACATGACTTTTCATATAAAAATTTCAGTGGAAGTATGAAATGTAATCACAATTATTAAAATGTAATATATATTGATTAGTCATTAAGAACAACTGCTTGATATCAATGAAGATGAAATTTAATGAGTTTAATTTCAAAACTAAAGTTAAACATTATGACTGAAAATAAAATATCATGATTAGTTCATTGAAACCAAGATGAAATTTTTTCTTTTAGGCCTACATATTTTGGTAAAGTAACATTTTCATTGATGTAATCAGTAAAACCAACCATTTAAAATTAAACCAGCCATTTAAACTGTTGTATTATAATGCATTAACTCCAAAATACATAAAAACTATACACATTAAATTATATTTATTTTAACACCATACTAATTATACAACATTTAAAATATTCATAGGCCAGGTGCAGTGGCCTGTAATTATATAATTATATGCTTGTAACCCCAGTCAGGGTGGGAGAATCACTTGAGCCCAGGAGTTAGAGACCAGCAACACAGTAACACTCCATCTCTACAAAAAAAAAAAAAAAAACCTGGACGTGGTGGCATGTGCATGTGGCCTCAGCTACTCAGGAGGCTGAGGTTGGAGGATTGTTTGAGCCTGGGAGGTCAAGGCTGCAGTGAGCTTAAATGGTGCCACCGCATTCCTGCCTGGGCAACAGCATGAGATTCTGATTAAAAAAGAAAAAAAATATTTTATTTTAATGTTACACTTTTAACTTTACGTTGTCCTATTTTGTGTATTATATATAGAGAAAACATAAAAAAATTCACAGATGAAAGTTCACATTAAAAACATAGCTATAGACTGGGCATGGTGGCTCACCCCTGTAATCCCAGCACTTTGGGAGGCCCAGGTGGGTAGATCATTTAAAGTCAGGAGCTCGAGACCAGCCTGGCCAACATAGTGAAACCCCGTCTGTACTAAAAATACAAAAATTAGCCAGGCATGCTGGCAGACTCCTGTAATTTCAACTACTCAGGAGGCTGAGCCAGGAGAATCACTTGAGCCCAGGAGGTGGTGGTTGCAGTGAGCCAAAATCACACCACTGCCGTCCATCCTGGGCGACAGAGCAAGACTCCATCTCAAAAACAAAACAGACAAAAAACATAGCTACAGATGCACGTTCAGTAAAGGTTTGAGAACATTGCTATAGGTGTCAGACAAGATGTTGAATTTGACTGATAGTATATAGAATCATTAATATATATTTTCTCCTTCATACAAACATCATGACTACTTGAACAAATAGAATATTGAAGATTGAGGTGAAAGGCAAGTCATAGAACATTTGTAAGAAGGAAATTTACAATAATAAATGTCTAAGTAAAAAAAGAAGAAATATCTTGAACAATCTGACATTACACCTCAAGGATCTCTAATTAACAATGTAACACAACACCCTAAGGAACCAGTAAAAGAACTAAGTTCAAAGTTAGCAGAAAGAGTGGAATAATATAGATCAGATCAGTCAGAGCAGAAATAAATGAAATAGAGACTAGGAAAACAATAGAAAAAATTAACGAAACTATGAGCTGGTCTTTTGAAAAAAAAAAAAGGACAAACCCTTAGCTAGACTAAGAAAAAAGAAAGACCATTCAAATCAATCAAATTAGAAATGGAAGAGGAGACATTATAACTGATACCGTAGAACTACAACAGATCATAAGAAAGTACTATGAACAATTATTCACCAACAAATTAGATAACCTAGAATTGTATAAATCCCTAGACACATGCAGCCTACCAATAGAATCATGAGGAAACAGGAAATCTGAATGGATCAATGATGAGTAAGCAGAATGAATCAGTAATGAAAGATCTTCCATTGAAGAAAATCCACGGTCAGATGGTATCACAGCTGAATTCTGCCAAACATTTAAAGAAATATTAATACCAATCCTTCTCAAATTCTTCCAAAAAATTGATGAAAAAGGAATACTCTGAAACTTACCCTAATACCAAGGCCAGACAAAGATACTACCAAAAAAGTACAGGCAAATATTTTTGATAAACATAGATGCATAAATTGTAAGCAAAACACTATCAAACTGTATTCAACAACACATTGAAATAATTATTCACCATGATTAAGCTGGGTTTATCTCTGGGATGCAAGAAAGGTTGAACAAACGTAAATAAATGTGATATATTAATAGAATGAAGGACAAAACCATATGATCATACTAACAGAGAAAAGGATTGGACAAAATTCCACATTCGTTTATTATAAAACTTGTCAACTCACTGCATGTAGAAGAAAAGTACCACAATAGTAATGGCCATGTATAACAAAACCACAGCTAAAATCATACTGAAGAGTCAAAAGTTGAAAGTTTTTCTTCTAAGATCAAAAACATAACAAGGGAGTTCACTTTCATCACTTCCTTTCAACATAGTTCTGGAAATCCTCACCAGAGTAATTAGGCAAGAATAATAAATAAACAACATCCTAATAGGAAAAAATAAGAAGTGAAATTGTCTGTTTGCTGATGACATATTACAGAAAATTATAGGTCTTATTGTAGAAAATTATAAAGATTCCATGAAAAAACTGTTAAAAATAATAAATGAATTCACTAAGGTTGAAGGATATAAAATCAACATACAAAAATCAGTTATCTTTGTATGTGCTGATAATGAACTCTCCAAAGAGAAATTAAGAAATCAATCCTGCTTGCAATAGCAATAACAACAAAAATACTTAGCAAAGAAAAATTCTTAGATATAAATTTAACCAAAGATGTGAAATATTTGTATACTGAAAACTATAAGACATTGATAAAAGATATTGACAAAAAACACAAATAAATAGAAAGACATCTTTTGTACATGGATTGGAAGAATTAATACTGTTAAAATGTCCAAACTACCTAAGTAAATCTACTGATTCAGTGCAATTCTTAGTAAAATTTCAGGTTCATTTTTTCACACCAATATACAAAACAATCAAAAATCCATATAAAGTCAGAAAAAAAGGCCCAATAGTCAAAACAAATTGAGCAAAACAAACAAACAAAAAAACCTGAGAGACATCATACTATCAGGCATCAAAATGTATTACAAAGTGATAATAATTAAAATATAATGGTATTGGCTTAAAAATACATCATACGCTGGAACAGGATAAAAAATCCAGAAATAAACCCACAGATTTATAGAAATTATTTTTTGTAAGGGTGCCACTAACACACAATGAGGAAAGGACAGTATCTTCAGTGGTGTTGGGAAGCTGGATAACCACATGCAGAAGATAAAATCTGATTCTTATATCATATACAACAAACATCTCAAAATGGATTAAAAGTAAAATGTAAGACCTGAAACTCTAAAATGAATGAAGAAAACATCGAAAAAAAAGCTGCTTAACATTGATCTAAGCAATAATTTTTTGAATATGGCCCTGAAACCATAGAAAACACAGCAAAAATAGACAAATGGGATGACATCAAACTAAAAAGTTTCTATGCAGCAAGGAAAACAACAGAGTAGAGACAACCCACAAAATTGGAGTCTATGTTTGCAAGCCATACATCTGATAAAGGGTTAATATCCAAAATGTATAGGATAATCAACTCAATAGCCAGAAAAAAAAACAAATATAAATGGGCAAAGACCTGAATACACATTTATGAAAGACATCCAAATGTTCCACAGATTCATTAAAAAAATACTTAACATTACTAATCATTAGGGTAATGAAAATTAAAACCACAATGAGATAATGAGATAATACCTCCTAACAGTTAGAATGACTATTGTCAAAAAGATGAAAGATAAGTGTTATTGAAGATGTGGAGAAAAGGGAATACTTGTATACTATTAAGTGAGAACGTAAATTTGTACAGCCGTTATGCAAAACCACATAGAGGTTCCTCAAAATATTAAAGACAGAATTACCATGTGCTTCAGCAATTCCACTTCTGAGTATATATCCAAAGGAATTCAAATCAATATGAACAACTGATGTCTGCACTCCCATGTTCACTGCAGCACTATTGATAATAGTCAATACATGGAGTCTACCTTAGTGTCCATCAACCAATGAATGCATAAAGAAAAATATGGTGTGTTTACAAAATTGAATATTATTCAGACTTTAAAAAGCAGAAAATTCTGTCATTTGCAACACATGAATGAACCTGGAGGAAGTTCTGCTAAATAAGCCAGGCACAGACAGCAAATACTACATGATATCATTTACATGTGGAATCTAAAAAAGTTGAACTCATAGAAATAGAGAGTAGAATGATGGTTATGAAAGCAAAGGATAAGAGAGGAAATGTGGAGATGTTGGTCAAAAGGTACAAAGTTTCAATGAGAGAGGAGGAATAAATGTTTGAGTTTTATATGGCACAATGACTACAGTTAATATTTTATATATTTCAAAATTGCTGAGCCAGTTTTAAACGTCTTACCATTAAAATGATAAGTGAGATGATAAATATGCTAATTAGTTTCATTTAGTCTTTAACTTGTTAACACATATCAAAACATTATATTTTCCCTTATAAATGTATGCAATCATTATTTGTCAGTTAAAAATAATTTGAAAAGAAACATTTCTGAGATTGAAATCTAATGGAGTAATATTTCAAATATAATTTGAATACAGACTCCAATTCTGTGGGTTGTCTCTACTCTGTTGTTTTCCTTGCTGTGTAGAAACTTTTTAGTTTGATGTCATCCCATTTGTCTATTTTTGCTGTGTTTTCTATGCTTTCAGGACCATATAAAGGATTTGGCTTGCATGTTAATACATTTATATGCCTTTTCTCCTGTTAGTCTGTCTATTGTTCGTTCATTTCAATTACCTTCAAAGGGCAGAAGGGAATATAAACAATATATGTCCTGTTAGAAATAAATAAACAAAAATGGAGATAACAGTCTGAATACCCTAAAGTCAACCACCCATAGCCATGTAACCAAAACTTAAGTCATTCTGATTTCCCCAAAACACTAACCTTAAACATAAATAAAACACAAACATAAGCTTTTTTATCCTTATCAGCATGATTAAATGAAATTAAACCAACTAAACCAATCACTTATTAATGAATCAGATTAAACAGCTCTATTTACCTAAAAATATACATGGCAGTCAATCATTAAAAAGTCAAAATACTTTATCCTTTATGATTGGTAAGGTGTGCTATAATTGCTGTAATACAGTGACTTTGTGCCATTTTTTGATATGAAGTCTCCCAGTTTGTGAAGTGTTTTTTTTTTTGTATCCACAATAAACACTTAACATTCTAAGTTGATCATAAAGTGGGTTTTTTATATGCACAATAAACACTTAACATTCTAAGTTGATCTGATTTTATTTTTCACTATATATTATTGTGTATATTTATGCATATGTATACATAAATCTATGCAATTATATATAAAAATAATATCTAAATTAAAATGGTACCTCTTTTCTTTCTGCTTCTTCTAAAAGTTACATATACATGGTTGTCAAGAGGGCTGACAAGCTCTACTCTGTTGGTCCTAGATGACAGTATGATTTTTTGTGTGCTTCATCTTGGTGATGGTTTCCTTGAAATGATGCTCCTTCTATGTACCCAGCTCAAGAATTGGTGCTTAGACCCAAGACAATCAAATTTAAGTGCCTGCTTTGCTATCTTTCGCATTTAGTACCATTGTTTATTATCATTCCAGAAAATCTTCAGATTTTACATTCATTCCAGAGAGACTGAAGTTTTATATCAGGGATTAGCTGATGTCCCTGTGCCAATTTTGTTCTTCCTATGCCATTCCCTACATCCAAATGTAAGCTACCATCCATAGTCTGTAGGATTTTGTTTACTTGCCTTTGTCTCTGGGGGCTTGATTTTGGCCGTTTTGATAAGTGTTAAATCTGGCATGATAAATCTTAAGCAGGAGAATAATATAAACTATTTATGTTTAAAAATTCACCCTAGTTATTACGTGGAGTAAGGCTTGTAGCTTGGCAGCAGGGGGTCAGTTTAAAGCTATGGTAGTACTACAGGTAGGAGTTAATGTCAGCAGTGAAAATAAATGGATTTGAATTATATTTGATGGCAGGAATTGATGAAAGATGATCTATTAAGAGCAACTAGGAGGAATCAAGCGATTATTTGCAGATTTGGTTTTGCAGGTGCTAATTAAATGAGAAGAATATAGGAGAAACTAATTTGTGCAGTAGAGAGGAGACAAATATAATCAATTTTGCTTTTAATATATTAAGACTGAGATGCACATTAATGTAACATTTAGGAATTTGGAAGTGGGAAGTGAATTTCTTAGTATATTGTTTCGGGATGAGTTTAGAGATAGAGACAGGACTTTGATTGTAATTAGCATGTACATAATTGTGCTATGACTGACTTACTATAATATTTTTAATGACAAATGTTATAAAATTACTTGCTTGTTAGAAAAATTATCAAGAATAATTATCAAGAACGTGAATCAGTATGGTTGGGAATTTTTTTTTTTTTTGAGACAGAGTCTTGCTCTGTCACACAGGCTGGCGTGCAATGGCACTATCTCGGCTCACTGCAACCTCCGGGTTCAAGCAATTCTCCTGCCTCAGCCTCCTGAGTAGCTGGGATTACAGGCAGCTGCCACCACGCCTGGCTAATTTTTGCATTTTTAGTAGAGATGGAGTTTCACCATCGTGGCCAGGCTGGTCTTGAACTCCTAACCTCGTGATCCACCCGCCTCAGGAAAATATTTTAAAGCTATTCATCCACATATTTAGAAACAAGAAATTGGATATACATAAAACTAAAGATTCAATATGACAAGCATTATTTTTTCTTATATTTTATTATTTAACATGGTATTCAATGACCACGTTTGAAGAAATAAACTAAAGCAATAATTTTATATGCTTTTAAGCAAGATACTACACAGAAAAATGTGAAAGATTTATTTTAAGACAGGGAGATTTGCAATTATCTTCTATCTCCATATTGCAGCCTAATCTTTAAAAACTACTGAAGAAATGTCCAAAATAACAATGATTAAAAGGCAAAGGAAGCTTCCTCTCTTCCAAAAAACAGCACTATGTCTCAATGGATCACTCCATGCATATTAATTAATCATTTTACTGATTTTGGAGTTCCATTCATAGGTTGTTATAAAACATATTATGTGTAATTCTGCATAAAGTTTTTAAAATTTATGATCCTTTTTCCTTATTTTATACAAATACCTTATATTACCCCTGAATAACATTAGATCTACTTAGCAGAATTATCTTATCCCACATAGTTTAAGGATGATTACCCCAAGAATCAATAGTACCTTATTGACATAGTAATTTATTATGTGGACCCAATCTTATTCTTTCCAGTTGAAAAGACTTTATTTATCATGGGAAGAAAGAAAGCAGCTGTTTATTTTTCTTGACAAAATAAATGAAGGTTCAGCATGTCTGGAGAAAGCTGCTTCCTGAGATGAAAGCTGGCTGTGAAGAGACACTGGCCCTCTACAGCTAGATGACAGCTTTCAGTGACATCAATTTCATTTAAATACACTGTAACAATTCTGTGATATTATATTTAAAGTACTTTTAGACCTCTCTTTAATTCAAAAAATGCAGGCTTCTTGTGACTTTATCTTTTCCAACTAGAGGAGACTATGGCAATGAAGTTCATACTTTTAGGTGTACTGTGAGTTACTGTTACAGAATCCAAAACCAGAGAAACAAGAATTGGGTGTAACCTACTATTTTCAGTTGCAATGAAGAAACATGCTGAAGCTCATTTTTAACCAAAAATCATCAACGACATAGATTTTTTTCCCACTCACTCACAATTTGACTCTGGCAAGCCATTTTTATTTACAATTCTTACTGAAACACTTCCTAATAAATCTAGGTTTGACATACAAGTGAGTTTTACTTAAGAGATGGTTTAATAAAAGGTCTGTTTTGTACTGATAAAAATGGAACTGTCACTACATTTTAGTCATGGCTGTAGACATTCTCCAGGAAAATCATTTAAAGGCATGTGGGAGTCTCTCTCTCTGATCTCTCTGCCTGTCTGTCTCTCTCTCTTCCTCTTTCCATGAGTACAGCTATTAGCAGGGAGAGCTTGGCACCTGTGATTGAAATTTTTGCCTGACTTCTTGTGTCCAAACAAGGCTGTTTACAAAAGTGAGTAAATGTTCTCTTTATTTCTGCTGCTATCAGGTTGAAAGCTCATGTGGTCAGTTTCCCTATTTTGCAGGTAAATTATGCCAATTTCTAATTTTAAATGCATTAGATAGACGAAGCGACTTATCAGATAAACACACTTTGTTGGGGTAAAATTGGCATGCATAGTGCAGCTACAGCTATTTTCTTTGCTTCCCTTTAGGTTTTAAATCTTCTTTAGGATTTATAAATAGGTCTAGTCTATGTCCACCTCCCATGGGGAGTGACCTGCTCATTTCAGTGTTGTCTGCAAACAAAGTGGTAAATCTGGGATTCAGAGAGCAGGCCCAGTGGACTTTCAATCAAGTAGCATAACCCAGTGTATCATTGCCAGGATGGTAGGTGATATTTTGATCTCTATACCCATTTAATGTTTCTTTATCTAATCTTTTTAAAGATGGAACATGAAAGGTGAGTGTATTTTTTAGGGACCCTCTTAATAATCATAAGAAGTGAGATTGTATTGTTTGTTTTTTTAATTTTCAATAGCCTGTTCAGATTTTGTACCCATTTTAATAGCATTGTTTACCTATTCTTATGTGTTTGGATTTGTACTCATTTCTAGGATATAATAGTAAAGAAGATAAAGTCTTTTAACTAAAATAAATTAAGTTTAAAATACATACATATTTTTAAGAAACAATTACTATTTAGTTCCTAGGGTGGAGGTATTTTCAAAATGCAGATGATAGAAGTAAATGATACAATTAAGTGAGTACAGCTTTGGGAAAATGTGGAGGGATATATTTTTCTCAAATGTGTCTTAGCATGCAATGATGAATATTAAAATTATGCATCTTTAAGGTTATGTCCCTAAAAACGTGGATATAACTATAATATTGCAGTATCTATGCTGTGTAAGAAAAGAAAAAAATGTAAGTTTAATATATAAAAAGTAAAAAAAATTGCAGAAATCATTAAATTGATTGCAGGACAGAAAATGTATTGTTGTAAGATAGCGTATTTAGAATGTACAAAACGTTACTGTCATTTTTCTATAGCTCTCGGTATAGCAGCTATACATAAATTATATGGCTTCAGTTTAAACTAGAAAGGTCAACTACCATTGGCATTCCATGTAATAAAGTCATCAAAAGTTTGTGTTCTTATTAAAGTTCTATCTCTGAAGAAATATAGCTGGTGATGACATTCTTTTCTCAAGCTAGAAGTAGAGAGTTCAGTTTTCGGAAGGCCAAATGACCTGGACATAATTTTCCTATTATAGTGCAGTTGACATTTTTTTCTGGGAACATGTGTTTACTAGTAAAATGTGTTCACATGACATACACCTACCCTATTACATATTAAGAGTCTAAAAGTGTTTATTGTTAGTTGATAGCCTTAGATAGTCCCTGTGAAGTAATTTTGTTTTTTCACAGTCTGAACATCAAGATTTAATATAGCAGAAATACATGTCTCAAAACTTTTGAAAAAATATTCAAAAAGACTATTTCTAAAGCCATGGTGATTTTTAATGATTTGATCTATAGTTTTCTTATGTGAATCATACATTTCCTTTTTCACCATTTTTCCAATATTCTACCTAATATCTTGTACATGTGCTACTACTATGCAAGTTCCATCTGCTACTCGTCAATTTGTTGTAGTTGAGATTCTAAGTTGCCTCCTTAACATGAATATTGCCTTTTTACTTTGCCATTATCAGTTCTTCAGAATGGAGAGTGTTATTCTATATTTATAAACTATGGGTTATTAATTTTTAATTTTTTAACTTTTATGTTGGAGAGACCTTTCTCCGTTGCCAAGACTGAGTACAATGGCACGATCATAGATGACTGTAACTTTGAGCTTCTGGGATCAACTGATTCTCCTGCCTCAGCTTCCTGAGTAGCTAGGACTACAAGCACACACTATCATACCCGAATAAGCTTTTAAAAATTTTTGGCCGGGCGCGGTGGCTCACGCCTGTAATCCCAGCACTTTGGGAGGCCGAGGCGGGCGGATCACGAGGTCAGGAGATCGAGACCATCCCGGCTAAAACGGTGAAACCCCGTCTCTACTAAAAATACAAAAAATTAGCCGGGCGTAGTGGCGGGCGCCTGTAGTCCCAGCTACTTGGGAGGCTGAGGCAGGAGAATGGCGTGAACCCGGGAGGCGGAGCTTGCAGTGAGCCGAGATCGCGCCACTGCACTCCAGCCTGGGCGACAGAGCGAGACTCCGTCTCAAAAAAAAAAAAAAAAAAAAAAAAAAAAAAAATTTTGTAGCGATAGGGGCTTATTACCTAGGATGGTTCTGAACTGCTGGCTTCAAGTGATCCTCTCAACTTGGTTTCCCAAAGTACTGCAATTACAGGGTTGAGTCACCATGTTAAGTCTATGTTTATTTGTAATATTTGATATTATCAAATTACTGGATATTTATAATACATATGTAATTTCAAACTGTAGTAATAAAATGAATACCTGAGTACATACCACTTAATTTAAGATCTTATCATTTTAATATCTCATCAAAATAGTACAAAATACTGTAGAGAAATGAAAGCATAATGGTTTTATCAATTTTTGTTTCTATAAAAAATTACCTTGACTGGGTAATTGATAAACAATATAAATTTATTGCTCACAGCCCTGGAGGCTGAGAAGTTCAAAATCAAAGTGCTGGCAGGTTCAGTCTGATGAGAGCTCTGCCTTTGCTTTAAAGTAGGGAGGGACCTTCTTCCTGCATCCTCACATGGCAGAAGGGGTAAACTGGCTCCCCTGAGCCTTTTTATAGGGCATTAATCCCGTTCATGAGGATGGAGCCCTCATGACCTAATAACCTTCCAAAATCCCCACCTCTTAATACTATTCCATTGGTCATTAGGTTTTAACATGAATTTTGGGACGACACCAACATTCAGATTATAGCATATACATATTTGAATACAAATAGAGTATTCATGACACAGTGTTTGAATTTTGAATCCTATTAAAGAGACTTCATTATGTTTAATTGGATAATCAAATACAAATAAAGCCTATAATGTATATGGCAATTGTTAAGGGATGAATGTGTCCCTTACAAATTTATATGTCAAAATATGGATTCTAAGCCCCAGTAATTTGGATTGTAATTGTATTTGGTGATGGGACTTTAGAGAAGCAATTAAGTTAGAATAAGGTCATTAGGGTAGACATTAATCCAATATGATGCATGTCCCCATAAAAAGCAAAGATTAAGGCAAAGGCTCGCAGAAGAAACACAGCATGGAGATGTCAGGAGAGGACAGCTGTCTACAATTTAGAAGCAAGTCCTTGGAGGAAACCCGCCTTGAAATTGGGACCTCTAGCCTCTAAAATTGTGAAGATAAATTTCTGTTGTTTAAGCCACCCATTTCGGTGGTACTTTGTTATAGCACTCTTAGAAAACTAACACAGTAATCTTAGCCCTGTCAAATACTGACATGTAAGTATATTTCAAAAGACGTACATCATAGCCATAGAGCACTCACTATAAAATGAATATTTGTGTCCTTCCAAAATGCACATGTTGATATCTAATCCCTAATGATGGTATTAGGAGGTAGGGTCTTTGGGAGGTTTACTAGCTCATGAGGGCAGAATCCTTATAAATGGGATTATTAGTGCCCTTATAAAAGAAACTTCAGAGAGCACCCTCACCTTTTACACCAGGTAAGGATGCAGCAAGAAGAGGGCTATCTATGGACTAGGAAGATGGCCTTCACCAGAAAGTGAATCTGCCAGCACCTTGATCTTGGACTTCCAAGCCTCCAAAACTGTGAGAAATACATTTCCATTGTATATTTCACTCAGTTTATGGTAATTTTCTTATCGTAGGCTGACTGGACTAAGACAGAACATGTACTTAGATTTTCAAAAGCAGTGAGCTGGTATTATCCTCTATCATACCATAGTTATTTTTGCTTGTTCCTCAGCCAAATAAATTTGAAACATATGCATAACTTTAGAATGTCTTGATCTTTTCTTACAGGCTTATCTCAAACATTTTGCCTAGAATTCCCATTATTCATACCTTCTTAGACTTCAGTTACTGGCAAGATCTAATAGCAGCTTCCCCTCATGGCAGTTGAGCTTTACTTTTTATCCTGGGCTAAGGTTCCTTAACTTTCTATGTGAAAGAGGAAGTTAAAAAAAAAGTCAAAACTACCACCAGATTAAATGACTCACATTAAGAGACACTTGATGAAGAGGATTTCCAGAAACATAATCAGGAATTTTATATATATATATATATATACACACACACACACATACTATATGTTCTTTGCACAATGGTTAAAATTGCGTGTTTTAGTTTCAGACATTTCTATGTTCTAACTGTCCTGTCACTTAGCAGCTGTTGATTCTGATCCTATTTGAACATTAGTGAAAGCTGCCATAAAGAGGGTTAACATAATGCCCATTTCATCCTCATGAGATAGAGTTTGGCATATAGAAATAACTCAGTCTTAAGTATTTACTAGTAGTTCTCAGCATACTTCTTGTTTTAACTTCTCACTGCTGTTGGCTAGGAGTTTCACTGAGCACAAGTGAATAGAAAATATGAACTTCTCTGGCAATCATGTATCAGGCAGCTGGCTTGATGTTAGAGATAGATATGTAAGAGAGAAGACCACTAAACACTCTTGCATAGTAGTCAATGGGGATTAATGAGATTCATTTAAGTTTGCACTGTTTAAAATATCACTAGTATTTATGTAAATTAGTAAGATCCTGAATTTGAAAATAAAACCAGAGGCAGCAGTAAATGTTGCCTTTCATTTTTCCTTTTCTAATCTTCAAATAGAAAATCTCTATTTGATGAATTACATAGTTATTAAATGTAGGAAAGGTAAAGCTATAAATCCAAAGACTCATTCTGTATTGAAAGTCTTTATTGAATGTGGAATTGGGTGTCTTTATGACCACTGTCACTCCACTATGGTGGAGATTGAAGACTGCAATTGAAGAAATGTCAAATACAGTACAGGATCTCTCCTTGACCTCCTCTTTCCGGTGAAAAATTATGTTGCTTTCTTGTGAGGTGAAGTTACTTATAAAGTTAGGTATAACTCAGAAATTTCAAAATTGGAATTTTAAAGTGAAGCTAGTCAAGCTGAGCAAAACATAAATCCACCTAGTCTCTGCTCCCCTCCCTAGCCTAACCCAATTTGAGATGTATGATTCATTCACAATCATGTGATATGATTTCAAAAACACTTTTTTTAAGTTAGAAAATATAGTCTTTCTATTCACACTGCATTGGACTTTCTGGAGTGTAGATTCTTAAAGGATTAATAGGCAGTCGAATCATTCAGACTAAGGAATCTGCAATGGAGTTCTACAATCAAATAAATCAATCTTTGGAGTATTCTCCTCTGCCAAATAATGATGTGAACAGAGCTTTCTCTCCTCTCAGGTTAGATCTTTAGTATTCATTTTTATAAATCAGCAATAAGAAGTTACATATTTTAATTCAAAATAATATAATTTGTCATGTAAATATGATCTAACAAGGAATATACTGAACAAAAGAATTACAAGACCTTAACGGAGACAATCATAAAATTTTACTGAAAAATATGTAAGATGAAAATTAATGGAGAGACATGTCATGCTAATAGGATGCAGATTTGTTAGGTAATTTGTTATCCGTTTGATTTGTAGCATTAATGTGAATAAAGTAAAAAAAAGTTATAAAACATATATGCTAGAGATGGCTATCAAAAATGTGAAAAGTAAGACAATGGTGTGAAGAATAACCTACTAGATATTCATACATTATTTGTGTAGCCTCATTGTTTAAAACAATGTGGTTGGTGCAGCAATATCTGTGTATAACAATAAGGAAATTTTCAGACACCTGTGAAATTTTTATATGATACTAAGCTGCTATTGCAAATGAGTGGGAAAATAAGAAAACGGTACCAGAAAAATTCATTAATCATATAAAGTAAATAGACTTTTATTCTTTCTTTATGCCAGTTACAAACAACAATTCCAGAAAGATAATTAATTTATTTGTGAATGTTATGTTTTTCCAAATAATCTATAAAAATATCCTAATGGTGCTATGATCTCATTGAAGGAAAATATTAGAATAAAGGAAGATAAAATTTAAGCTACAACTATATGAAATTTAAAATTATTTTCATCAAAATATGATGGAAATTTAGCAGAAAGACAAGCCACAACTAGAAGATATCTACAATACTTAAAATCGGCAAATAATTTTTACGTAAAATATATGAACAACTCCCATGAATCAATTAAAGGAACAATTTACTAGCAAAATAAGCAATAACACATTAGCAAACATTATACAGAAGATGAAAAACAAATAATCAATAATGTATGAAAAATTATTCAACCTCATCTCTAATTAAAAACCATAATGAGATAATGTTTCACTCTCAGCAAATTGTCAGAAAAATATAGTCTGCAATACATGGGTTTCATCAGTATGCTCTTAGGAGGAAAATTGTTACAAGCACTTTAGAAAATACTTTTGCATTAATTATTGAAGTTAAAGATATGTGTACTTTTAACTTCTTACATACCCATGAAAAGTTTCTTGCCATGTGCCTCAGAATAAATGTTCAAGAATATAGCATAATTTTCAGTAATAATAAATGAAGGGTCATAAAACAGTAGTCATTCAACAATGTAATATATAAACAGCTTGTGGTATATTCATACAGTGGATTATTTTATATATGTAAATACAGTAATTTTCCAATTTTGATATTAACTTTATATTGATAATCTTGACTTTATAATTATAGCCTCCAAATACCTCATCATTATATTCCATATGATGCTATTTACATAAATTTCAAAAATAGGCATAAACAAACGGTAAAACTCTAAAAATTGGCAATCTATAACACTAATTTCAATATATAACACTAATTTCAGGTTATTAATTTCCTGAGGGAGAAGTGGATATTATGTAAAATTAAAAGGTACACATTGAGCAGTCAACATGTTACTAAAATTCAGAAATTTGATGGTAAATATTCAGATGTTGCTTACTTATTATTAAAACCATATATAGAGAGAGTATGTTTTTGTATGTATGATATATATATACTGTAAGATTTTAAATTAGGCATTGAACAAGTATAAAGAAATATATACTATATAGTTTTCTACCAAAAATCTCAGTGAAATTACTAAAATACAAAATTTGGTGACATTTTCACCACTATGTGTCACACTGATGTTTTAATAAACAATATATAATTATTTTTAAAGCATTTCTATTAGTTAACCATACATAATTTTAAACTGTAGCAGATGGATTATTCTGAGGACCAAATCTCTCTGTGATTTATGTGTTAAAAATTCATAATACACTTGACTTTTTCTAGCTTCTAGAGTGAATTTAAGAAACTAAAAGTTCTGAGATTATTTGAAAGCATTTATGCTTTCTTCATTATATGAAGCATTATGCTTTCTTCATTATATTAAAAAAGTTAGTAATATATTGTAAATCTTAGCTATCACTTGCTATAAATTAAGTTGCTTTCAACATTACCTTGTCATCAAGTTGTAAGGTTAACTTTGTTGTTTTGTAAGGCAATGATACAATGATGTATAATCAAGACAAAAGTAAATATTCCTAATAAAACTATGTCACAGATAATTACAAATGAATTTTTTTACCTTTGCTTTTACTGAGACATATTAAATCATGAGTCCTGTTGTATTTAAAGTCTTATTAAAGTGACATTTGTCATACAATTTTATGTCACAATATTAAACTTCCCAAAGTTGGAAAGAATTATATATAGTTATATGTACAATATAAAGGTGCCAGCAAATATGTACATAAACATGAATCAAGGCAAAGACTAGAGTTATGATTTAGATAGAGTTCTGAAGGACATTTTATATCCGTCATCTAATTTAATTTTAGTTGAATAAACAAATTGAATAAATAAACAAAAACACATTTGACAAATGAGACTGCAGAACTGACAGTAAACTTTAAGGGGTTAAATATGTGATTGACTTGGAATGTAGCAAAGCTTATTACTTATTACCAAATTGACTGACCCAGCTCCAGGAAAATTCTACAAACCTCACGGAAACAAGTGAGGATAGAACTATTTTCATAATGCTGTACAATCACTAGATAAAGTTGGAAGCTACCATATTTTTGAAAAATAAATGTGGGAGGAAAAAAATGAGAATTAAATGATAGTAAGAAAGTCACGTGGGAAAAATTAAAAAGTGAAACAATTGAATGGCAAAAAGAGACAATCTGGAAGCAACACAATGACAAGAGAACAGAGAAGAAGAGAAAGGGTGTCATTTTGGGGTTTGAACATAGCTAACTCATTCATAGCTCACCCCAGGTTAGTTCATGCCTAGGGTGCAATGTCAAGAATAGATAGGTTCCTCAGAAGGTTTTCCTGAAGAGTCTAATATTTTTACCAAATATTTTATGATTATGATTGACACAAATATTATTAAGCTCAAATAATTGACTGGTTTAGGAGCTAGAAAACCCAATTATTATTGAAAATGAAAGAGAACTTTTTAATGAGTTCATGAGAAAAAGCCTAACGCAAGTATATGTAATAAAATGAAATCTCAATTTAAAATCTAGTCAGGACATACTGGTTGTGTACCTGGAAAAGATACTTCATTTTAGGGAATTCATCTTTAAAAATTCCTATTACAATTATTTGCATGATTAAAAGAGATTTACCAGCCTGGGCAACATGGTGAAACCCCGTCTCTACAAATAAATAAATAAATAAATAAATAAATAAATAAATAAATAAATAATATTAGACCCAGGGGTGGTGACTTTAGCCTGTAATCCCAGCAGTTTGGGAAGCTCAGATGGGCAGATTGCCTGAACCCAGGAGTTCGAGACCAGCCTGGGCAATACAGTGAAACCCCCATCTCTACAAAATTTAGCCAGGTGTGGTTGCGGGCGCCTAGTCTCAGCTACTTGGGAGGCTGACATAGAAGGATTTCTTGAGCCCAAGAGGTTGAGGCTGCAGTGAGGGTGACTGCACCACTGCACTACAGCCTGGGAGACACAGTGAGCCGCTATCTGGGTGAGAGTGAGTGGGGGAAGAAAAGAAAAGAAAAACTAATTTAAAAATTGCATAATAAACTATACAGCATTCTGCTTAACACATAGTAGATTTTCTTTAAAGGCTTATTTCTCCATTTCTTTTGCATCTGTATCTTTAAAATAGAAATAAGAAATAAGTTTTACTCAATAAGTAAATATATTGAAATCAAGAACTCAAATATCTGGAAAGATTATTTAGACACTTTACCTACAAATAAAAGGTTGCTTTATTTATATGCAAAGTTTAAATACAATGAAATGTCAGAGTTTGCACATTTTTTTCTGTGAAAAAAATTTGCTCTCTTTGCAAGCAAATTACTTTTAGTAAATTTACAAAATTCATAAATACATTTTTTCAAAGTAAAATAAAAGAACTAATAACGTTAAAATTATAAGAATTATGAAATATTCATATAAACAAAAGAAAGATTTTAAAACTCATTACTTGAGTTTAGACTAATTAAGCCAAGAGAGTTATATGTTTTATTTTATCTTCGAGTGTGCAGGAAGAGAAGAAATTATCTAATTTCACTACTTCAAAAAATATATTTTGTAAGCATCCATAATTTTTAGAAGTTAATAGATGTGGATTAAACATTTATTAGCAGTGTAACATTATTAAGAAAGCCACATTATTATAATTACAGCATATAACATTTAAATGTTTCTGTTTACAGGACATATTACTCTCTGAGATTTGAATTTTTAAATATTGTGTTAAAATAATATTTCCAAGGACAATTTCATAATAAAAAGCAAAACAGTATTGCATATTTTTGTACATGCCTTCATATTAAGCAAAATATAAGGCTGGGAATTGGAGAATGTTCTTAATTTAACACTTTATCAGATTAAACTTTTTGAAGGTTATGTAGCTTCGAGTTATTTTTTTTTATAGCTTCAAGCAAGGGAAGATTTTAGTCTTCTTATCTTTCAAACATTCTGTTCCCTAGTGACATTTTCAAGGGTAGGAAATGGAACTAATTATTTAGCAGTAAGCAAACAGAACAAACTTAAAATGCTCAAAGCTTAAAATATGTGAAAAATAAAAAGGCCAGAAAGTTTTTTGAAAATAAATATAAACGATTTAATTTTTTTCTAAATAATTTCTTAACGAAAAGAGAAACAAGTATAAACTAGTTTTAGTAAAGGGGAATCTATTACGAAGAAATTGGCACATTTCTTGAAACTCAAGTGCCAGGGAAGGCTCTAACAACAAAAGAAACTGAAAACTACCAGAAAAACTATGTTTCATTTTTCAGTCTCTCATTTGTTTCTTCAGAATATTTATTTTTCTAATTTTTAAATCTAGATTTTCTAGTATATACTCTTTCCAATAAAGAGGGCCTCAAAATTTGACTTCAACATAGATACTCTTGAACTGTATCTAAATAACCTTAAACCTTAGTTCTAACTAATTAAAATTTTATTTTATTTTATTTTATTTTTCCATAAGTTATTGGGGTACAGATTGTATTTGGTTACATGAGTAAGTTCTTTAGTGTTGATTTGTGAGATTTTGGTGCACCCATCACCTGAGCAGTATACACTGCACCATATTTGTAGTATTTCATCCCTCGCCCCCTCCCACTCTTACCCCCAAGTCCCCAAACTCCATTGTATCATTTTTATGCCTTTGTGTCCTCATAGCTTAGCTCCTACAATTCACAATTGCAAAATCTTGGAACCAACCAAAATGCCCATCAATCGACGAGTGAATAAAGTTTCTTCGTGTGGCAACTTCTAATTTTTGTGAGAGGGTCTCTGTTTGGTTGTATTAGGTAATCAACCTACCCTTGATCCTTTATTTGTGGCTTGTGTGGAGGGTGTTATTGGAGGAAAGTGCATATGGCTTGTTTCTCACACAAGTAAGGGTTGTGAAAGTCAACTGTCTCAGGAGTGATAATGTGAACACGGGAGATGAAAATTTCTCAGAAAAGGGAACATGTTTAGACAGACACTCCAAGACCTATTTAGATACGAGCACTGCCAAGAATTGTTAATAAATCTTAAAGTTAGAAAATAATTCAGTTTATATAGCCTAATTCCTAATTATTCCATTATCATTTTTCCGTCTTTCAGAAGCTTGATCAATTGTGATAGAAAAGAGATTGTCACGTACAATTTAATTGGCTTGTGAAAAAAAAAATCTAACTGAAAGCAGGACTATCAGGAAAGGACCATGGGATGAAAAATTATGAAGAAGCTGTAAAAATCACCTTTGTTTATTTTGCTAAAGTTAAATTTTAAAAATAGTTCATTGCATTTTCTTTGCATCTGAAACTTCCTCTTTAAATTCAACTCCAGATATTTTTATGTTGCTCTCATACATGAGCATTTCATCCTGACACCTGTCAAAAGAAAAAAAAAAGTACTGTAAATTAAAAAAAAAGATGTGGCATTTTAATAACAATGAGTTGTCTGTTGTCAGAAAGCAGATGCATTTTCAATACCAAATGCTTTGGTCAGCTCATTTTTTTATGTCAGAAATGTAGAGATTTCAATCTGTAAAGAGCATTTGGAGCTGTGAGGTGGCGCACACCTGTAGTCTCAGTTACTCCAGAGACTGAAGCAGGAGGATCTCTGAAGCCCTGTAATTCAAGGGTACAGTGTGCTATGATAGCAATGATGAATAGGTACTGCACTTGAGCCTAGGCATCATAGAAAAAAGAATTAAACGATCATTTGGAGTCAATAGAGAAAATGTACAACCTTCATGAATAGTAACTAAGCTCCCTTTTCTTTGTTTGCCACTTTCAATTTGCTGACACTGGTGTCGCAATATTATGGCTTAGTATCCTTTCATATCTGTTGGGAATTAAACATGACATTGTTTTAAATTTAGAAAAAATAATGGACATATTTTATGTCAGCATGGATGAAACAACTGATTCATAATTTACAGCATACTGTTTCTTGCTATTGCTGATTCTTTTAGACCTTAAAGTGAACATATTCTATGTACAGTAATATACACATATATAAGAAAGAAAAAATATTCTGCTTATTATAAATATACCATTGGATATATGTAATGAATTTTTTAATATTTGGCTTACATTAAACAATAAAATTATACCTTTTAATAGTTTTTATTTTGGTCATGATTTACTAACTCCCAGGATGTCTAAATAGCATGTAGAGGGTAGATGGGCTATTCAATGAAATAATTAGTGCATGACATCTTAGAAAGAATATACTGTATTTCTCATTAAGTCAATATCTAGCAACAAGGTATGTTAAAAATAAAAGTAAATTGGAAGGTAGATCTTCATTCGAGGTTTGATTTCAGCATTTTCTTGCCTGTTGACACTGAACAAGACTCTTTACATCTCAATTTGTTTATCTGTTAACATGATAGTGATACCATATTTGCACAATTCAAATCTCTGTATATGTCTTACATCGCTGAAGTTAGTTGGGGGTTATTGGACTCTCACAAATAACTTACTTGCTGACAGGCAGAGGATGAAGTGTGAATTTATTGCCTTTTGCCTAAGTGTACTGAGGCAAAGAGCAGAGGACTTTGCTTGTTCAATTGTTAATTGAGTTAATACACTTTCTTCCATTGCTGTAAAAATCGTCCTCTTAAAAGAGGTCAGAGCTAGGAGAGATATGTGAGAATGATTTCAAAAGATTAATTAAGTGCTGAATAATCTTCAAAACCTACAGGCTAATATTCAAGAAATGTTAATCATCAGCAACATGGACTTAAAGGAGAAATGAAATAAAAATTTACAGAGCAAAGTTTGTCCAAATGGGAAATGGAAACTAAAGGCACATGTTCTTCAACACAGTGTTTGTTCATATTGTTGACTCTAATGCTTCCGTATTAGGATTTTCCAGGAGGCTCTAAGATGGAAAACGTTACTGTGAACAGTCCACCTCCCTAAGGAAAAACACAGAGGACTCAATAGAATAGTTAACCTCACTTAGGAAGGGATAAATTTAAACTTTGATACTGACTATGAACATAAATATGTGGCTATTTATCTTACTGATTATTGTTTAAATAGTGTTCTAAAATAAACTTTTATTAAAACATAATTTAAGCAGAGTAAAAATCACTGTTTTTAAGTGTACAATCGGATAAGTATTGAAAATGATATAGGTGTGCACCATCATCACGAATCCAGGATGTAGAATGTTTCCCTCAACACCAACATTCTCCTTCTACCCCTTTGCTATCACATTTCCTGCTGGATCTTGGCAACCACTGATGTTTTCCTTCTCTATAGTTTTAACTTGTATATAATTTAAAAGAAATGAAGTCATACATGAAGTATTTTATATCTGGCTTTATTAGTTCAGCATCATACTTTTCAGATATATCTATAGTGTTGTGTATATCCGTAGAATTTTTTTGGTTGCCAAACAATAATTGGTATAATTGACAATAAATCACATATTTATTGTTATCTATATTAATAACCCAAAACCATTATTTTATAATCATCATTAATAAGTCATAATTATTATTTATATTAATAATACAATAATTATAACAAAAACCCCAAATTATATAACCCTCCAAAATTTATATTATTAACCCAAGATTTATCCATTTGATAGTTGATGGATAACTGGATTGTTTTAGTTTTTTAAAGCAATTTTAATTAAGTATATAGTACACAGTATACAATTAATTTCAAACTTTACATATCAATGATTTCCTTTTTTTTTTCCTACTTACATAAGGTATGTCTTCTGTGAATCACCATTATCAAATGGTATGAGTCAATCCGGATAGGACTTCCTGGGATCAATGACCCAGTATATTTTGTGTTCAAATGTTTCTTAAAAATGTCTATTCTAATTAGGGTTTCAAAAGAGGTGTATAGTTACTGCCAATACATCACTAATAATAGAAGTTGTCCTGAAATATTTTAACAAAAACTCTCTATGACTCAGCTAAAATGGCAAAGTACTGTTTGATTGAAATGTGCCATTGAGTGATTGAAGTATGCCACTTGTGGGATAATATGTGGGATATAAATTTTCTGACAGATTTTTTTTCTTCAGTCATTTTCCCGTGTAAGAGAATTTAAAGCTATAGTAGTTATTATATTAAAATTAAGAAAAGGTATTCCCATTCATTTTAAAGATATTTCTATTTTTTTAACCATTGAAATAAAATTATTGGAGGCTTATAGGAAAAAACTATTGACTCCAAAATATCAAAGAAAAAATTTTAAGTAAAAATCAATAAATGTCTAAATGTTTAAAAACGTTGTAATCTTGTACATATAAATTTTTATATTTTCAAAAATGAGGTTCAATTTACACTCATATTATTTTAAAGTTGTGTTAAAATATTTTTAAAATTTTACAGCAAACTTTTAAGTTTAACTTGTATATAGATACAACTAAATACTAGAAGGAATTTTGCAAAGTGCTTAGGGCACACATTGTTCTTACAACACTTGGCAAGTGGTGTAGTGGGGGTACCTTTTCCTTAGTATCAGAAAAAAAAGTTATAATTTACTCGTGTCTTCATGCAAAAGGGAATATGAGTCCTAAGGGTAATTTAATTGACCTTTGCCAAATATATAAAATTGTTATATGAATTCTACGAAGAAAAGCGAAGTTATTTTTGCTATCTAGTATTTCTTTTATTTTATTAAAACTAAACATTTAATTCTATTTTAAAAGTAAACTCTGTATTTCGTACCCTCCAGCTTTTACTTTTTTAAATATTATTTTCGATATACCATTCTAGTTTACGCATTTAGTCAAATGTAAATAACAGTGAAAAGTTACCCACTCAGGAAGATTATATTTTTGGTAATGGTTAGCCAGGAAATTTTCATCCACTCTTCCAAGGTGAATAACTAGGAAACCTGGAGGGATTGAAAAAAAAAGAAGAAAGAATAATCGTATGTAATCAAAATCTAAAAGAGAAAGAACAGAAATGCGAGCCGTATGTTTGAAATCATTCTTTACCCAAAGATGTCTGCCAATTCAGAACAATTAGCTGAGAGACTGAGAAACCAAGCAAAAAATCACTACTTTTCATAACTTTCTGGAGAGAGAAAGAAAGAAAAAAAGGATTCTATAGTCAGCTAAGAACGCCTTCCGTGGTAAAAGTCAACCTTGGAATAAAGACTACGAAAGGCAATGTAAGCACCAGGGGTGAAGTGGAACCACAGGGTCCAGACAGGGCCAAAATATATAAATCTCTGAAATTGTACTATGGTGATTTATGATTGTTTCTACACCTAGATGTTGACAGAAGCAATAATAAATTCTCTCAAGAGGAATACAATATCATTCTAGGCCTCAAAGTATTTTAAATATTTTTATATAAAGTACTAGGCATTTAAACAAAAATTGATAGTAACACAAGGAGAGAAGATATTATGTTTGAAATCAAGTCAATAGAATCAATCAACAGGGTCATATATCATCGGGTCATCATGCACAAACTTTGAACATATTTATGGAACTAAAAGTTGAGATGAATAATGTAATCGGATAATTTGAAATAATAATGATAATAAAATTAAGTTAAACATTTATAACTGTAAAGCATCAACATTAGTGAGGTAGAAATGCAGAAATTCAGGTCAAAGAAATCAAGCTGGTAAAAAAGCTGGAAATATACATGTAGGTATGTATCAATAAAATGTGATCATATCAAAGAAAACTATTCTAAAATCATTTTTGAACCAGCAGTTAAAAAGGAACAAGAGTCAAAATAACAGCAAAATTTTCAATAGCTACATTGTAAATAAAATAATAATAGCACAAATACTTCAAAGAGTTGAAAGAAATTGACACTGCCTTTCAGTGATTTAAAGAATTATAACTTTATGGGGTTTTAATTGAAATACAATAAACTGTATGTACTTAAAGTGTATAATTGGATAAATTTTAACAAATTAATACATCCTGAAATCATAACCTTGATCAAGACAGCAGACATTTCCATCACCCCAAAAGTTTTCTTTTGGCTCATATTGTAAACATCTGTCCTACAGGTAAAATTCTCACGGAGCTACTGATGTGATTTCTGCCACATTTATTTATTTCTATTTTCTTGAGGTTATATACATTTCTCTAATTCTATATACTCTTCTCTTCTGCCTAGTTTTTTGTATTTACATAATTTTCTTAAAATTCATTTGTGTTTTTGCACGTATCAGTATTCCAGATCATTTTATTGTTTAATAGTATTCTATTAAATGAGTATAGTCTAATTTGTTTATCCATTCATTTACTGATGAACATTCAAATTATTTTTAGCTCAGTGCTATTACAATAAAGCTACTATATACATTTTTAAATGTAGAAATCTTTGGGTATATTTTTATTTTACTTGGGTAAGTAGGAATGGGATGTCTGAGTAATATGGCATGGGGATGTTTAATTTTTTAAGAGCTTCCAAATTTTTTCTAAAGTGTTTTTACCATTTTGCATTTCCACTAGCAATGCAGTAGATTTCCAGTTGCCCCATGGCCTCACCATCAATTTAGGAAATAGCTAAAACCATGTGGTCACCTATATTTTAATTTTAACCAATCTAATGCATGTATTAAGCATCAAAAATGTACATATTGGTCAAAATATCATGTAAATAACATGGCCTATCCAAGATATTCATGCACACGAGACTGAAAAGAAATCTTCTGTGAAAATATTCTTGAAGGAAATACTTTGGAAAGAACAGCAACAAACCCAGAAGATCCCTGTGAAATATATAGGTAGGAAGGTTAAATTAATTAGAAAAATATATTGTCTAAAGAAGCAATTTTAAAAAGCCCAATATAGTGAATGTATGCATACTAGATGTATGTCAGTGTTGATGGTGACTGTGCAGATATGAAGAAACATCAGTCATATCCTCTTTCTTTATGGTGAGACCAAAATGTAGCCATTTTTGTGAATCCCATTCTTGTTCAAATGTATGTAATTTCTAACTCTTTCTACTTCAGAGTGCTCTCATTTCTAATAAAACCTTGCAATGCACTGCCTTTCATGTAGCATATTATGACTTTTAATGGATAAAACTAGTGATAGCCTTGAATTTACACTTATTTAGGTGTCTAGAAAATTACTAAACTCATTTCTCTTCCTTAAAATAGAGATTAAAAAACCATTTCAAGTATTGTTATCAGGGTTACATGCTGAAGCACTATAGATTTTTCAACCATAGTAACTTACTTTTTTATCATATGATTACAATCTCCTTGAGACAAATATACATTTGTTGAATAAATCAAATATAGGATATTTGAATTATAAACAGACACACATAGCTTCAGTGTATATTCTTGTGAAAGTGAGACTATTCAGCAACTAGACCAACATAATATTTAAATAATATTGTAAATAAAACTAGTTTTGTGATTCTCTGGGTTATATTCTCTCCAGTATACATAGATTACAATAGCAAAATCAAGCTAAAACCATATCCTGCAGTGGGTGACAAATAACATCTGCCAAACTTTAATGCCAATGTCTCCCTTCAGTGAACAAGTTTCATTAATTTGCTTTAAATTTGGCAGAAGCCTTACTGTTGGAAACTCAATGACAGACACTTCATTATAAGTCCAGCTGGTAATCATAAGTAATGTTGAATCTAACGCAATATAAACCCAGCCATTTGCCCTTACAAGATTGTGTGTCAGGTAAAATCCACAGTTCTTACAGATACACGCAAGGCCCAAAGTAGAAGTTAATTACATCCATCCTATGCTACTAACACAAGAACTGACTTAAAGATACTTCCCAAAGCACCAACATCTTTCTGTTCTTCTCATAAAAAAGAGAGTTAAATCCAGTTTTAATTAATAAATGTATAATGAGAATAGATGTTCATGCAGTATGATTCTAAACTCTGCATGGCTGCTTCTAAAATTTAAATCACATAGCTGAACACATTAGAATAGCATAGTCTCCCCATAATGACATATACCAGATTTGTGTGTGTCTCTTTTAGTGGCAAATAATTTGTGTAATTTCTTTCACAGAAATGAAAGTGATTGTTTTAAAGAAAAAAAAAACATGTTTTCTATTTAGAATAACCTGCAGTCTTATTCTTTAAAGTTAATGCATTTTGGCATTGTGAGGTATGGAAATAGCTAAAGCTATGTGCAATATGTCAAAAAATATTTTCTGAAATCTTATAATAAGAGTAATTTATGGACTAGCCAAAAATCAAATCTATGACCAAAGATGACTGTTGTGAAATATGACATTATAAAATATTCTTTATCAATTAATAGATTTATCTAATATTTGTGAGCATTTTACTTTGTATCCTAATGACTCATTATCTCTGATGCACTTCTCCAGCTTTTTCATGTTTTAGCCTTGTTTACTCATTGTTTCTCTTAATAGTGGTTGAAGAATAACACTTGTTATTACAGGAACTGGGGTGTTTAGTTGTGCTGCAAACCTGTTGCTTTGCTTGTTGCTGCTGAGGAAATAATTGATACTTTGCATATTCTCCTGTCCTCTTTTTCCTACTGTGGCCCTTTGCATGGCTAAAATGGGAGCCAATGACTCAATTCTGTATTGGAGAAAGTGAAAACAATTTCTAGACCCATTGTATATGTTTCCTATTTCTGCTGTAACAAATTGCCAAAAACATAGTGACCTTAAGCAATATAAATAAGTTACTTCACGGTTTTAGTTGTCAGAAGTCTAAAATGTGTTCTTAGGGCTGCTTTTCTTCTGGAGGCTCTAGGGAAGAAATAGTATTTTCCAGCTTCTAATGTCTGCCTTTCTCTAACTTTCAAGGCTGCTTTGCAGTGTAACATCTTCCCACCCTCTCCACTATCACCAATTGACTTCTTGCCTGTCTATTTTAATGACCATGTGATTACACAAGAGGCAGTGGGATAATGCAGGATGATCTCCCAATCTCAAGATCCTTAACTTAATAAAATACACAAAGTCCTTTTTGCCATCTAAGATAATATATTCACAGTTTTCAGGAGTTAGGACATGGACATATTTGGGGATTATTGATGAGCCTACCACACTCATGAAGTACTAACTGCTTGGTTCAGAAAGTTGGGTGGGTGATATGGTTTGGCTGTATCCCCACCCACATCTCATCTTGAATTCCCATGTGTTGTGGGAGGGACCTGGTGGGAATTGACTCATGAATTGAATCATGGAGGCAGGTCTTCGCTGTGCTTGTCTTCTGACAGTGAATAAGTCTCACGAGACCTGATAGTTTTAAAAAGGGGAGTTTCCCTGCACAAGCTCTCTTCTCTTGTCTGCCACCTTGTAAGACATGCCTTTTGCCTTCTACCATGATCGTGAGGCATCTCCAGCCATGTGGAACTGTTAAGTCCAATAAACCTCTTTCTTTTGTAAATTACCCCGTCTCAGGCAGGTGTTTATCAGCAAAATGAAAACAGACTAACATAAGAAACTGGTACCAGTAGAGTGGGGCATTGCTGAAAAAATATCAGAAAAATATGGAAGCGACTTTGGAACTGGGTAACAGGCAGAGATTGGAACAGTTTGGAGGGCTTAGATGAAGATAAGGAAATGTGAGAAAGTTTGGAACTTTCTAGAGACTTGTGGAATAGCTTTGACAAAAATGCTGATAGTGATATGAACAATAAGGTCCAGGCTTGAGGTGGTCTCAGACGAAGATGAGGAACTTTTTGGGAACTGGAGCAAAGGTGACTCTTGCAATGTTTTAGCAAAAAGACTGGTGGCATTATGCCCCTGACCTAGAGATTTGTGGAATTTAACTTGACAGAGATGATTTACGGTATCTGGTGGAAAACATTTCAAGCAGCAAAGCATTCAAGAGGTGATTTGGGTGCTGTTAAAGGCATTCAGTTTTATGAAGGAAGCAGAGTATAAAAGCTTGGAAAATTTGCAGTCTGACAATGCAATAGAAAAGAAAATCCCATTTTCTGAGGAAACATTAAAGCTGGCCACAGAAATGTGCATAAGTGAGGAGCCAAATGTTAATCCCCAAGACAATGGGGAAAATGTCTCCAGGAAATGTCAGAGGTCTTCACAGCAGTCCCTCCCATCACAGGCCCAGAGACCTAGAAGGAAAAGGTGGTTTCTGGACCAGGCCCAGGGTCCCTCTGTTGTTTGCAGTATGGAGACTTGGTGTCCTGCATCCCAGCTGCTCCAGCTGTGACTAAAAGGGGCCAAGACACAGCTTGGGCTGTTGTTTCAGAGGTTGGAAGCCCCAAGCCTTGACAGTTTCCTTGTGGTGTTGGGAGTGTGGGTGCACAGAAGTCAAGAATAGAGGCTTGGGAACATCCTCCTGGATTTCAGAGGATGTATGGGAATGACTGGATGCCCAGGCAGAAGTCTGCTGCAGTCGGGGGCCCTCACGGAGAACCTCTGCTACAGTGATACAGAAGGGAAATGTGGGGTTGGAGCCTCCACACAGAGTCCCTACTGGGGCACTGCCTAGTGGAACTGTGAGAAGAGGGCCATCATTCTCCAGACCCCAGAAGAATATATCTGCAGACAGCTTGGATCATGCACCTGGAAAAGCTTCAGACACTCAATTTCATGTGAGCCTGTGAAAGCAGATGGGAGGGAAGATGTACCCTGCAAAGCCATGTGGGCAGAGTTGCCCAAGACCATAGGAACCCACCTCTTGCATCAGTGTGACATGGATGTGAGACATGGAGTCAAAGGAGAGCTTTTTGGAGCTTTAAGATTTGACTGCCCCACTGGGTTTCAGACTTGCATGGGGCCTTTAGCCCCTTTGTTTTGGCCAATTTCTCCCATTTGGAATGGTTGTATTTACCCAATACCTGTATCCCCATTGTATCTAGGAAGTAACTAACTTGCTTTTGAACTGGGTAACAGGAAGATTCTGGAACAGTTTGGAGGGCTCAGAGGAACATAAGAAAATGTATAAAGGCTCATAGGCATAAAGGACTTGCCTTGTCTCAGATGAGACTTTGGACTGTGGACTTCTGAGTTAATGCTGAAATGAGTTAAGACTTTGGGGGCTGTTGGGAAGGCATGATTGGTTTTGAAATGTGAGGACATGAGATTTGGGAAGGGCCAAGTGTGGAATTATATGGTTTGGCTGTTTGCTTATCCAAATATCATATTGAATGCCCACATGTTGTGGGATGGATGCAGTAGGAGGTAACTGAATCAGGGTGGCAGGTCTTTCTGGTGTTGTTCTCATCATAGTGAATGAGTCTCACAAGATCTGATGGTTTTAAAAATGGGAGTTTCCCTGCACACTCTCTCTTCTCTTGTCTACTGCCTCGTGAGATGTGTCTTTCACCTTCTGCCATGATTGCGAGGCCTCCCCAACCATGTGGAACTGTAAGCCCATTAAACCTCTTTCTTTTATAAATTGCCCGGTCTCAGGTATGTCTCTATTGGCAGTGTGAAAACGAGCTAATACAGATGGTGAAACATGTCTTAGTCTTATACTAATACAGCTGGTGAAACAGGTTTCTTAGCTTTATCTTTAGGAAAAGAACTACCATAGTTATGTTAGTAGTTGGTGGAGCTATACTTGTACTTTTTTTCCTCTAACTGATATCTGCTTTTTAATGAAGTAGGTACAAGTGCAAAGTTAACGAAATATATTCTAGTTATGTTAGAATAACTTAATTTGAGTAGTTTATTTGTGTATTTCAAGCTTTTGCAGACAAACACCATAGAGATATATACTATAGCTCTGAGAATTTCTCTATAGAGTTAAATACTCAGTCTTTCAGATATCTGCTACCACTTCCTTCCCTTTCTAGTTTACAAACTAGCTTACAAACTTACAGTACAGAGGGAAAATTGATTCTGCAGATCCAACAAGACCTCTAGACTTTCAAATTTCTGGGTTGTTAGCAAACTAGTTTGTTACATGAACTGAAGACTGTTGAGGTGTGTCTGATGTTCTTGGGCTCTTTCAGTGGCTGATTCCTAACAGTGGAGTTTTGGCCATGGGCTTCCAGGCTCAATATTTCCAACCACAGAGGTATTATTTTTCCAACCTGACTTTCTACTAACCACATGCAATCTAAGTAGCTTTGAAACCAACCCAGTTGCCCCACAGAACTGAACTGATGTTTATGTGTGTGTGTGTTTTTTTAATAAATAAAAAAATCGACACTCCCTGTCTTTTTTTTTTTTTTTTTGAGATGGAGTCTTGCTCTGTCACCCAGGCTGGAGTGCATTGGCACAATCTGTGTTCACTGCAAGCTCTGCCTCCCAGGTTCATGTCGTTCTCCTGCCTCAGCCTCCTGAGTAGCTGGGACTATAGGCGCCCGCCACCATGCCCAGCTAATTTTTTGTATTTTTAGTAGAGACAGGGTTTCACTATGTTACCAGGATGATCTCCATCTCCTGACCTCGTTATCCACCTGCCTTGGCCTCCCAAAGTGCTGGAATTACAGGCGTGAGCCACCACATCCAGCTACTCCCAGTCTTAAAACTTATGAAAGTTACAGTTTTCTTATCTGAGTTCCTTTCTCGGGAAACCAACCATCAGCCTTCTCAGATAGTATCAATGAACTGAAACTTACCAGATCATTGCATCTGTACAATGAGACACTAGACGCCTCATCCATCATAATTGCCTAACTGATCACCTGCTTCCTGTTAACCAACTCCTCTTCCTTACCTCTTGCTAATTCCTGTTTTTCTGCATGCAGCTACATTTCTTCTCTGCTACATAAACCTCTCATTTCAGTTGATCAGAGAGAAGAATTTAAGACTGATCCCCCATGTCCTCAAATGCAGCACCCAATTAAAGCTTTTTTCCCTGGCAACATTTGTTGTCTCAGTGATTGACTTTCTATGCAGTGAATAGCAGGATGTAGACCAAACCCCTGGTGTTTTGATAACAATTTCATGTATTTTATTGGGAAGACTGGGACCCAGGGAGCCTCTACATAGAATTATAAGACCATGGTGTGTCAAAAAATTATTTAATTCACCGATTTAGGTACTATCTAATAATGATTCATTGTCTCTGCCTTGCACTATGTTTGAAGTGCTTCCTACAGACTTACATAGGCTCACAATTTTCCTTACATAAGCCTGAAAAATAGAGTTCCCCTCCTGATTTTCCACTACTATGCCAAAGCTATGTGGAAGTTTCTAATTTCACTCTGGCCAATAAGTGTGGGCCAAAGATGTTGGTAAATTCAGAAAAAAAAAAAACTCCAATACATAATGTTCTTTTAGCCTAGTTATGATGTATTTTTTCTCCTCACAAAACATCAGTGTTTGAAAGGGAAAATGTGGTATCTTCTAAAATTATTTTTACATCTTGTCTCTGTTATTCGTAGCTGAGAAAGCCTCATTGTTTAGTTATCAATGGCACAACTAATGCTTAGCTAAGTTTTCCAAGTGTTTGTAATTACTCATTTGAATTTGTATAACATATATTATAGTGAAAAGAAGTTGGATATAGTTCGCATTTTGCATTTGGTTCATTTTTTCCAGTATAAATGTTTATTTTGAATTTGAATTTTGGTATTAATTTGTTGTATTATTTTTCCCTTGCTAATAATCTAGATTATAACATCTAATGAGACAAAATTTACTGATAAAATCACTTAAAACATTTGAGTCATTAAAACTATTATCTTTTCTAAAATGATGTAATACATTACTTCGGTAAAATAATTTACTCATGAGATCAGAAAATATTAAGTGAGTGAAAGACATTTTTCTAGGCATCCCAAAGGAGACTGACTATTTACAGTAATTTAGTATAAATATTTAAACTAGTAAATTTAAATCATAAGAAAGTTATTCATGCCCAAGATAACAAAATAAGAAAGTTGTTAAGGCAAAAACTCATCTTTTACATATTATAAATAGTGAGAATTTGTGCTGGATTGAAGCATTGTTTAGATAAAGAGCAAATAGTAGATATTAGAGCCAAGCACTTCAACAGCACTTGAAAAGCTTTAATTTCAACTGCATAAGGAGCCAATGAAGATTTTTGAATAGGTAAATTATATAAAACTTCATAATGATTGTTCTAGGTTAAGTATTTAAGATGTGCTGTAGGTAGAATATAGCTGTAAGAACAATTAAAAATATAATGATAAATTTATGGATTTCCAATATGTACAATCATTTTCAAGAGACATTCCTGAGCTAGAATTAGTGGAATATATTCATTCATAGCAAATGACAGAAAGCAATTAAAATGATTTTAGGTTTTCATGCCTTTGTGGCTGGCAGAACTGCGTTATTGAGAAAAAAAACAAAGTCATAGGGAAAAAGTTCACATGGGGAAAGAAGCGAAAACCTACTGAATGGTTTAATAGACACAGCATTTAATAGACACAGCATGGTGTCTACACTGGTACTATATTCGGTAGATCCATTATTGTCTTTCCTTCCATTATTAAAACAGCTTCCTAACAAATTTTTCTGCTACTACACATAAGCTAACCCCTCACAATATCCTACAAGGTTGTACATGATTTGACTACATGTTACCACTTTGACTTCCTCTTCTCTTTTTCTTCCTACTTATTTAATCTATAGTAGTCTCCTTGATGTTTCTTGGTTCAGTCAGTGGTATTCTTGCCTCAGTGATGACCCCTCTCCCTGGAAATCTTATACTCAAGATACCTGCCTTGCCAAATTCCTCATGGTGTTTTAGCCTTTCCTTAAATATCTCATCAGTGAGTCTATCCTAATCAGCCACCTCCACTATTATTTTACTGGAATCCTATTGGGGTGGTGGTAAAGTGTGGAAAACAGGAATATTTTATGTGTTTTTATTAAATCTTAATATTTTAATAAGGTCTGGGTCTTGTCCTTGAGATTTTAAAAAGTGTTTCTTCAGTAATATAGCTCTGCTTGCAAGACCAGGCTCTGCCTCCTTTTCCTGGCTGAAAAGTTCTCAACGTACATGCTTGGAATCTTGACGCTACAATGAGGTTTTGTGTTTGTTTATTTCACTTTTGATGTGACAGGAAGTCTAGAAGGGACTGAGTCTTTTTCCTTGCAAAAGACTCTGTGTATGACATATATTATATTTCATTATGATTACACTTGTATTTTCTACCCTGCTAGAGCCAACAGAGGGTCTTTCTCAGATCTCCACAGGGAGAACCTGGTGAGATTTCCGAAGGTAAACTCCAGAAATGTGTGTATCCTGCAAAAAAATATGATTTTCTTATTCTCACTCTAGTTTTTACTCTACACTTCTACACTCAGCTTCCAGAAGTATAGAGACCCTACCAGTTATTGTCTTTAGTGATGTCTTTTCCAGGTGAGAAGATTTTTATTGTGTCTCTCTGGACTTGCCTGTCTCTCCAGATTTCATCATGACGATTTACTCTGACCTTAGTTCTCTGGTGGACACATGAAAATGTCTTGATTTTCTGTATGTTCAGCTTCTTCTTGTTGTAAAGACAGGTATGATGACTTCTAAGCTCTTCACATGTTGGAGTTGAAACACAAGTCTGATGGATACATTTTCAAATTAAAGCCACCATAATTTCCTAAAAAAGTAAAAGGGGGATATAAGAATTAAAATGTGGTATGTATAGCCGAAAGCAAGAAGGGACTCATTTTCTGGACTATTTATCTTCAGATCTCTTATCTATGAGGTGAATAAGCTCATCTGTGTAAGCTCTATTTATTTGGCATTTCACTTACAATCATCTATAATAAATCCTGCTAGATACATATTTTTAAAATTCTTGATATGTCATTGTGTCTAAATATGTGTATATATGTTTGTAAATCAAATTAAAAAGTATATACTAGATAAGAAATTGATAATAATAGAAGAGAAGAAAAATAAGAATAAAAGAAGGACAATGTGGGAAACATCACATTTGAAATGGCTAATTTTTAGTCACACTGACTGTTTTACTGCTTTTCATCCGCACTGAGACTGTTGACACATCTATGCCATTTATTACAGGCTTGTTTTGCAAGGAATGGCCCAAAGCTTCTTCACTTACAGTATTCTCTTCATCTCCCCAACTCAGGTGCAAAGGTCACTTTTAGAAAACATAAGAAAATAATCAGAAAGCCACTTCTAGAAGTAGTTCTTTTTTAATTTTTTAATTATTATGGATACATAATAGATGCATATATTTATGGGGTACATGTAATATTTTGATATAAGTATACAATGTGTGATGATCAATCATGGTAAGTGGAGTATCCCTCACCTCAAGAATTTATTATTACTTTGTGTTAGGAGCATTCTAATTCCACTCTTTCAGTTATTTTGAGATGTACAATAAACTAGCCTCAATATCTGGGTCGGCCCTTAGCAGCTCTGACAGCACACATCCCTCCTGGCTGTCACTTTGTGGCAAAGGCAATTTCAATCCTCACTGCTCAGCCTGAACTGGAGATCTCCATCCTGGAAAAATGAAACTCTATATGCCTTTTGCCTCAGAAGATAGAATTTCCTTCTCAACCCAAATCCTGTTAACACTAACAAATTCCACCTGTTTGAATTTTTTTTTGTAGAATAACTTCAAATGGGATTAATCTCATCTTCAGGAAGATCCCACATTATTATGTCCTTGCAGAATTTCCTGGACTGGAGGAAGTTAAAAGGTATCAGAATACAATATATTACTTTGTTGTTAGTATGTTCTGAGCTAGTCATTCTAAAATAGCCCTATGTTTAGGTCAGTATTCAAAATAATATACTTTAAAAAAATCTTTAGCAAGAAGTAATTTTTTTTCTTGCTTTCTTTACTTGCTTTTAGTACTGAATCTCAAACTTGTGATTCATATAAACATAGTTTCATCAGTACAATCAGGTGCTCAAGAAATAGCACTAATTTAATTATGCATGCTTCAAATTGCTGAAAGTTTTACGCCAGACTTGCATAGGTCAGGAGAAATATAGTTCCATTATTTGCTGATGCAGGAACATGTGTTTCAGTGGGATTTTAAGTCAGGTAACTTTAGGAATAATTTTCTACCAGGAGCTAGATAAATTTTTTATTAGATATTATTTCAAGGGCCTGAGGAATGGACTGATAGTGGTCAGAACATAAAATGCATACACTACAAGCAGAAATTTTCATATCTGAATGAGATTTTACAAGGATTAACATTCTATAGGGATTATGCTTGGGATTGGAATTTACACATCCCATGAAAGATTCAGAGTCCAAATCACTGAATGTCAAGGTAAGCAGTAACTTGTACTGTATTGACATGTATTGATGTCATCATATCTAAGCAATACTTGTATTATATTGACATGTATTGATATCATTACATCTAAGCAAGAAAAAGGGGGAAAATATGCTACTATTTGCACAACAGATAAACTACTCTTCTCCTGGGAGTGGTAGAACACAGCCTAGAAAATCAGAAATAACTAATTCCATACAGTAGTGACACAAAGTCAATGCTGATTTATAATTGGTATTGTTTGTTAAGAAGTGGTTGACTTGGCCGGGCACAGTGGCTCTCGCCTGTATTCCCAGCACTTTTGGAGGCTGAGGCAGGTGGACCATGAGGTCAGGAGATTGAGGCCATCTTGGCCAATATGGTGAAACCCCATCTCTACTAAAATACAAAAAATTATACAGGTGTTGTGGCGTGTGCCTGTAATCCCAGCTCCTTGGGAGGCTGAGTCAGGGGAATTGCTTGAACCTGGGAGGCAGAAGTTGCAGTGAGCCGAGATTGCACCACTGCACTCCAGTCTGGTGACAGAGCAAGACTCCACCTCAAAAAAAAAAAAAAAAAAAAAGAATTAGTTGACTTAACTACAACTCAGAAAAAGGCTTGTGGATGTTATAATGTTGATCAAGCAGACTATGTATTAGTCTGTTTTCATGCTGCTGATAAAAGACATACCTGAGACTGGGCAATTTATAAAATTTATTTATTAGACTTACAGTTCCATGTGGTTGAGAAGGCCTCACCATCATGGCAGAAGGTGAAAGGCATGTCTCACATGGTGGCAGACAAGAGAAGACAGTTGTGCAGGGAAACTTCTCTTTTTAAAACTGTCAGACCTCATGAAACTTATTCACGACCATGAGAACAGCATGGGAAAAACCTGCCCCTATGATTCAATTACCTCCCACTGGATCACTCTCAGAACACATGGGAATTCAAGATGAGATCTGGATGGGGACGCAGCCAAACAATATTATTCTGCCCCTGGCCCCTCCAAAATCTCATGTCCTCACATTTCAAAACCAATCATGCCTTCCCAACAGTCCCCTAAAGTCTTCACTAACTTCAGCATTGACTCAAAAGTCCAAAATCCGAAGTCTCATCTGAGACAAGGCAAGTCCCTTCTGCCTATGAGCCTGTAAAATCAAAAGCAAGTTAGTTTTTTCCTAGATACAATGGGGTTACAGGCATCAGGTAAATATAGCCACTCCAAATGGAAGACATGGGCTAAAATGAAGGGACTACAGGCCCAATGCAAGTCCAAAATCCAGCAGGGCAGTCAAATCTTAAAGCTCCAAAATGCTCTCCTTGGACTTAATGTCTCACACCCAGGTCACACTGATGCAAGAGGTGCCTTCCTGTGGCCTTGGACAGCTCTTTCCCTGTGGCTTTGCAGGGTAAAGCTGCCCTCCTGGCAGCTTTCATGGGGTGGCATTGAGTAACTGGTTTTTCCAGGCACACAGTGCAAGCTGTTGGTGGATCTACCATTCTTGGGTGTGGAGGACAGTGGCCCTCTTCTTACAGATCCACTAGGCAGTGTCCCAGTAGGGACTCTGTGTAGGGGATCGAACCCTACATTTCCCTTTTGTACTGCCCTAGCAGAGGTTCTCTATGAGGGCCCACCCCTGCAGCAAACTTCTGCCTGGCCATTCAGGCATTTCCATACATCCTCTGAAATCTACATGGAGGTTCCAAATCTCAATATTTGACTTCTGTGCACCTGCAGGCTAAACACCATGTGAAAGCTGCCAAGGCATGGGACTTCCACCCTCTGAAGCAACAGTCTGAGCTGTACTTTGGCCCCTTTTAGCCATGACTGGAGTGGCTGGCACATAGAATAACCAGTCCCTAGGCAGCACAGAGCAGGCAGGCCCTGTGCCCAGCTCATGAAACCATCTTTTCCTTCTAAGCTTCTGGGCGTGTGATGGGCAGGGCTACTATGAAGACCTCTGACATGCCCTGGAGACATTTTCCCCAATGTCTTGGGGATTAACATTTGGCTCCTCATTATTCACGCAAATGTCTGCAGCTGACTTGAATTTCTTATCAGAAAATGGAATTTTCTTTTCTATTGCATTGTCAGGCTGCAAATTTTCCAAACTTTTATGCTCTGTTTCCCTTTTATAACTGAATACCTTTATGGCACCTAAGTCACCTGTTGAATGCTTTGCTGTTTAGAAATGTTTTCCGCCAGATACTCTAAATCATCTCTGTAAAGTTCAAAGTTTGCAAATCTCTATGGCAGGGGCAAAATGCCACCAGTCTCTTTGCTAAAACATAACAAATGTCACCTTTGCCCCAGTTCCCAAGAAGTTCTTCATCTCCATCTGAGACCACCTCTGCCCAGACCTTATTGTTCACATCACTGTCAGCATTTTTGTCAAAGCCATTCCATAAGTCTCTAGGAAGTTCCAAACTTTCCCACATTTTCCTGTTGTCTTCTGAGCCCTCCAAAACCTCTTCCTGTTACCCAGTTCCAAAGTCACTTCCAATTTTTCACATATCTTTTCAGCAAAGCACTACTTCTGGTGCCAATTTACTGTATTAGTATGTTTGCACACTGCTGAAAAAGACATACCTGAGACTGGGCAATTTACAAAAGAAGAGGTTTATTATACTTACAGTTCCATATGGCTGGGAAGGCCTCAAAATCATGGCAGAAGGTAAAAGGCACATCTTACATGGAGGCAGACAACAGAAGAGAGCTTGTGCTGGGAAACTCCCCTTTTAAAAACCATCAGATCTTATGAGACTTATTTGCTATTATGAGAACAGCATGGGAAAGACCTGTCCCCATGATTCAATTACCTCCCACCAGGTCCCTCCCACAACACATGGGAATTCAATATGAGATTTAGGTGGGGAAACAGCCAAACCATATTAGACTACTATGGCAGTTCACTAAAAATCAGATCAATTAATGAAATGCCAGATCTGAAAGACTAATCATGTTCATATGCTAAAAATAAGAAATTCAGTTGTTGCATAGTAATAACCAGCTTCTTCATTTCTTGACAAATATTTCTAAAACCAATGCTCTTTTTCAGTTTGGTAGTTGTAATTATTCCTTAATTTCAAGTGTGTTAAAATTGATTACCAATATTATCCAAATATTATCTGCAATATTTTGGCTACATATCCTAGGAAATTAAAAAGAATCTCACACTTTTTAAAGTTAAGATAGTGAGAAATATCTTGTAGCCAATTAGCATAGCACCAAAAATAAAGCAAAAACTAAAATATTGAGAAGGAAGGACTTGTCGTAGTTCTTACATTACCAAAGAAACTTAGTCTAATGTTGGACACCAACTTTTACCTGTCCTCAATGGCTCAAGATGGGATGAAATGCCTTTTTCAGACTGTAAGTATCCTAAAAGGGAATGAGGCTGGAAAATTCTCCATCGTCTTCTGAGGAAATACTGCATTTTCTCTACTATACTTATAAGCAGTGTGTGGGGGTGGGAGAGGTGCTATGTACATTTTTAACAGAACTAAAATATATCAAAAGTATGTGTTCGTGTGTAAGAGCTCCAAGCCTTCTTCACTAAGTTTGTTGTTAATACATATTTGTGCTTCAAAACCAGATAAATTGGTGTAATAAAATAAAAAAATATATATTTTTCAGGACCTTCTCTGTTGGAATCCAGATAATAGAATAAGAATAGAAAAAAAATGAAAAGAAAATCAACGAGTATACTAAACTGACTTGTATGATGAGTGTAAAGGTAAAGAGACTAGGAAGAGTGAAGAAAATGCCTGTTCTTTCATAAGCAAAGACTTGAATGGGCAGGTGTTATCAACTGGACTCCCTGTAACATTCATTGTTCCACAAGCAAACACACTTGATGATGAGGAAATTATTGGCCCAGTTTAAGGATAAAGGCAAGTTCTGTATGTACTTAAGCATTTCTAGTGAATCATGTGAATGTTCTGAACTGGGAAACTTCAAAAGCAATTTGCCTTAAAAATATTAGGTAATAAATTATAGTCTATATTATAATAAAGGTCCATTTTTGTCAGGTCTATATTAGAATTCTCTAGTGTTTATATGGTAATTTGTCCAATATAGTCCTTTTTAACAACATTCAAGCTTAAAAAGCTTGCCATTGTCTTCATTGGAATATAATTATTAATTTTATGACTATGTTGTAAGTTAAATGCTTAGCATGGGAAATTTCCCATGTTTCAGACTCATTTCTTTATGAGAGCTATGAATTTTTATGTTGTCAGAAAGCAGTAACTTTCTTGCAGTATGCCATATTAAATTGCTGACAATAACAGATTCATTTCTCAAAACAAATGCAAGTGTGAATTTTTTTATCATAATTAGACATTAAAATGTGTTTTCAATGACTTTTGAATGATAGACTTACTTTCAAAATGTCTTTTTGCAAAAATTGGTACACATGATACCATGAATTTTATTAGTTATGTAATAATTGAGCATATATTTAAAATCTGCACCTCCAGAGTGGGGAAGGACTAAATGGTGCTGATACAATTGATCGAATATGAGAGTCTCAATAGCAAGGGTAATGTGGGAGAAAAAAATCATGTATAACTACAAGTCATAGATAACAGAAAACTATTCAAATCTAAATTAAAATTGATTTTATATAAATGTTTTGATTTAAAATACATCATACCCTAGGAGCATATGTACCATTCTAGACATGTCATACAGAAACATAGAGATAAAACAACAGTTGAAATAACATAAAGTCATGAAAAGTGTACTACTTCCATGATGACCAGGCAAGCTTCTGGTCATTGAAATGATACAGCTGTGGCATGACCAGCATTAATGACAGTCTCTTTCAGGGTATTGTACATGTACATGGTACATGTAAATTTGAAATAAGGGTAATTTACATGATGTAAACTACCTTACATGTATATATAGAAATATATATATGATAAATAAGATTAGTTTTCTAGATTTTTGTTGCTTATATGTTATCTGTAAACATTTTTCTGTTTTTCTGATACATATGTCTACATTGAGAAAAATACTTTTTAGTAATCTTAGTGGTTTTGACAATATATGAATTTTTCTTTGCATGGAAGACTATATGGAGTGAGGGCACTTTATGAAGTGGGCCCTATTTCTCTTGTCCTTTCATACTAAGATAAATGTTATATAGATAGAAACTGACCTGGATTACTCAGGTCTGAACTCAGATCACATAGAACTTTAACCGTTAAACAAACGAACCCTTAATAGCGGCTACACCATTAGGATGTCCTCATCCAACATCGAGGTTGTAAACCCTATTGTCAATACTTTTATCCGTAGGGTAATTTATTCCGTTGATTGAATTATTTGGTCAATGTGTACTAACTCGCTTAGACTACTGCAGTCTTAGTTTAGGTTGTTCGGAGGTTGAACTATGCTCCGAGCTCACCCCAACCAAAATTTTTAATGCAGGGATAGTAGGCCAGGGCCTCTAGACTTGTTTGGGTTTTTATTTGCATTAATGAATTAAAGCTCCATAGGGTTTTCTAGTCTCATTTGTTTATATCCGCCTCTTCACAGATAGGTCAATTTCACTGATTAAAAGTAAGAGACAGCTGAACCCTTGTGTGTCCATTCATACAAGTCCCTATTTAGGGAACAAGCGATTATGCTACCTTTGCACGGTCAGGATACCATGGCCGTTGAACATATGTCACCGGGCAGGCAGTGACTCTAAAACTGGTAATGCTAGAGGTGATGTTTTTGGTAAACAGGTGGGGTAAGATTTGTCATGTTCCTCTTACTTTTTGCAATCTTTCCTTAGAGCATACCTTAGTTGGGTTAACAGTGTAAATAATAGGGTGCTTATTATATCATTTATTAATATTAGGTTGTTAACTGTCAGTGGGTTATTCCAGTCTGATGTAAACGTATGCAATGGAGAATGTTTATATTAACATTATTGGTTCTATTAAGTAATTGATTAGTCCAGTATGATGTTAGGAGTTCAGTAGAGTGATTAGAATTGAAGATAGTTAGATGTTGAGCTTTAAATGCTTTCTTAATTGGTGGCTGCGTTTGGGCCAACTATGGTGGTAGTATTTTTTACTCTCTGTAGGAACGTCGTTTCCTAGGGTCTACAGAGCTGTCCCTCTTAGACTAACAGCTAAATTTACAGGGAGAGTAAATAATTCTGTGGGTAAGTTTAAAGTTGAACTAAGATTCCACGTTGGACAACCAACTATCACCAGGCTTGGTAGGCTTGTCACCGCTAGTCATGAATCTCCCAACTATTTTGCCACATAGATGGGTGTACTCTTCAGTTGTTCTTGGGTAGCTCATCTGGTTTTGGGGGACTTGGCTATAATCCTCTGTGTAAAGTTACTTCTAGTTAATACATTATGCGGAAGGTATAAGAGCTTGTCTTTGCTTTTTAGTGCTTTATATAGTTCTTTCACCTTTCTTTTACGGTACTATGTCTACTACACCAGGGTAAAAATTTCTATCACCTATACTTTCGTTTAATGTAAATGGTTTGATTAAGATAGTTTGATAATATTTTTAGCGAGGTTTGGGGCTAGCGTTGGCTCAAAGTGAACAGATCATGATGAAATCTTCCAGGTGTAAGCCGGATGCTTTGGGTTAAGCTACACTTTGGTTTGTCCAAGCGCCCTTTCCAGTACGCTTACCATGTTACAACTTATCTCCTCTGTATGTGCATAGAAAGTTTTTAGTAATAGTGATTTCTAGAGTAATATTTGAGGAGGGTGATGAGCGGTGTGTGCATGCTTCATGGCCTTATTCAACCAAGCACTCTGCGCTTGGTTTACTACTAAATCCTCCTTGAGCCCTTAGATTTCATAAAGGTTGTTGTGAGATTTGCCGGATATAGAAAATGTAGCCCATTTCTTGCCACCTCATAGGCTGTACCTTGACCTAATGTTTTTATATGTGTACTTGTGCTTACTCTGTAACTTTTTTAGGGTTTGCTGAAGATGGCAGTATATAGGCTGCGGGCAAGAGGTGGCAAGGCGGTTGTATCGGGGTTTATCAATTATAGAACAGGCTCCTCTAGAGGGATATAAAGCACCGCCAAGTCCTTTGAGTTTTAAGCTGTTGCTTGTAGTACTCTGGCGAATGGTTTTCTCAATGTAACTATTAGAGTTTAGGGCTAAGCATAGTGGGGTATCTAATCCCAGTTTGGGTTTTAGCTATTGTGTCTTCAGGGTATTAAAGCCACTTTCGTAGTATATTTTATTTCAGCTGTAGTTTTTTACAACTCAATTGGAGTTTAGCTTTATTGAGGGTAGACCTTAATTAAACACTCTTTACGCTGAGTTCTGTCAGCTCGGGTTAATCATATGGTCGCGGTGACTGGCACGAAATTGACCTATCCTAAATATTAGTATAGCTTAGTTAAACTTTCGTTTATTACTAAAGATTTATCACTGCCGTTTCCCATGGGGGTGTGGTTGAGCAAAGTTGTTTTGAGCTGTATTCATGCTTGCTTGATACCTGCTCCTTTTGATCCGGGTGACCTAGAGGGCATTTTCACTGGGGCAGGGATGCTTACATGTGTAATCTTACTAAGAGCTAGTAAAAAGGCCAGGACCAAACCTCTCTGTTTATAGGGTTGTGCGGATCCATCTAGACATTTTCAGTGTCTTGCTTTGAATAATTAAGCTACATTAACTGCATAAATTCTTAAGTGTAAATATTAAAATATGAGAAATAAATAAATAAATAAAAATAGTCGTTTACAGTTCTGGAAATTCAGGGTCTTTAAAGTTGAATTGGCAGAGGTTTGGCTAAGAAGATCACTCATAATCAAGAGTATGATTGATTTAGGAGATGATATATGGGGCAATGCTTTCGGGGGATATGCTCAAGGTATTATATTAGTATTAGGGCAGAAATTTAGTTATTATATTTATTATACAAAGTGGAGGATTAATTTAGTAGGAGGGTGTTAAGATTTTTTAGAAAAATTACATCAATCGAGGGGTAGCTGTTGAGGCGTTCATGGTTAAAATATGATTTCTGGGCTCTGACTGGGCTGCATTTTAGTCTTTTGTTTTTGGGGTTTGGCAAGGATACATTTAGCTAGGTTGATAGTAAAGTCAGAGATGCGGGGAGGGGGTATTGCAGATTTAATCGGAAATAGTTCTTGAAATTCAGAGTGCATGCGACGGGCGTGAGCGTCGGTACGGGCGTGAGCGTCGGTACGGGCGTGAGCGTCGGTACGGGCGTGAGCGTCGGTACGGGCGTGAGCGTCGGTACGGGCGTGAGCGTCGGTACGGGCGTGAGCGTCGGTACAGGCTTGCGTGTCTATTAATTGTTATGTCCTTCAAGCATGAATTAAGTAACACCTTCTGGTTATAATGCCAGCCTGGAATATGAATATAAGGTTAGCTTCTACAATTGATTTGGCAGGAATCAAATCCGAGTTCCTCTACTGCGGATTCGGCAGGGACCAGGTGAGTGATAGCATCCCCCAAAGTTAAAAGTACCAAATGCATGACATGACAGTGCTCCTGTGACTGGTTAATAGGGTGGTAGTCATTAGTCCATGGAAATGTCTTATTTAAGGGGAACGTGTGGGCGATCTTAATTCTATGGCCCTGAAGTAAGAACCAGATGCCAGGTATGGTTTCAGTATAGTCACCCCCAAGTGTCATGGGCCTGGAACCAGGAGGGTGCCACTCCTGAGAGGGATGATGATTTCTCAGTGGTTGGTAGATTAAGAGAGCAAAATTTGATAGGGGATATACATGTTGACGAGGGATTTCTTGACTGAAATGTGCTATGTCCGATGAACGAATGTATGCACTGTGATTTACAGTATGGGTCAATATCCACGTGGGTTAGATTTTATTGTACAGTCAATAGTAGATGTGTGATAGTTGATTAAGAAGTTATTAATATGTGCTTCTATGCATGTGGACTATGCTTGTGGAAGATCATAATTTAGGAGGTGTTAATATTAAAAAAAAACCTAAGAATTCTGTAAATATCAGTAGATAGAGGAAACAACATACACAGGAATAAACGTAACATGATGTGCAATGAAATTGTCTTCTCACTGTAGAAGAATACTAATTAGCATTTTAAACATCAGTATACATAATAGGAAAAGATAGGTTTATATATTTTATGATTTTACTTAGTTTAGTTCGCATAGTAAAATACAGTATATCTGAATTCTCATTAAACTTTTCCAGTTAACTATTAAAAATAGACGCTAGTACATTACCAAGTGTATGTTTTTTCAAGTTGTCCAAATTCATTAAAAAGAAACCTCCAAGACTGGACTGTGTTTATACTCTAATGACTATTTTCCAAAATTCTTTCCTGATTTTGTTTCATATAAGTGTTCCTATTCCTAAACCTTTATTTTTCATCTCCCTATGCCTTTGATACTCTTGAGAGTGAAATAATCCATTAATTACAGCATCACCTAAAAGGTGTATCATTAGGTCCAATCATTTCTAGAGCTTCATTTCCATTTTATATATACTTATAAAATATTAGACTGCTTAATATGTACTGTCTCAAATCTGAAGTTATCATTCTCTCTTTCAAAATTGCCAAGGAATATGAATTTCCTGTTATTATGACTAGCATGATAGTTTATAAATGGTTTCAGACAAGACAAATAATCTAAGGCCTTCTGCTCTAGTAGAAAGCACAATAAACTTTCAGCAAAACATTTCATGTTTCATTTGTGGATCTTCTGCTAATAGGATATGTACTGTACAATTATGTGCTTAAACAGTATAAACTTGAGTCTCCATATCTCTGTAATATTAATGATAGCACCTATAGATTATGTTATGTGATAATAAAACAATATGTATTACAGTAAACTCCTCCAAAAAATGTTAAGAGCTATAAAGATGTTTATTATTAGTAGTAAAGTTTCTATAATACAAATATAATCAATGTAAGTTGCCAGAAACTACTGTACTAATGCATGCTATTATGATTTGAGATAATATAGCACACTTAAAGGAAAAAAAAGTATGATTTGTATTGACCAGACTCAATCAGAACTTTTAAAAGTCATCTATACCAATTCTGTGGACTTCCTCCACTTCTCCCCAAGCATAAATGAAGTATTTGATTTTATAAAGCGCTAATATGTAAAGAGATTATTTGGTGATTTTGCAAGTTATGTTATAATCAGATCAGATCAATTTTCATCTTTCTCATGGAAAGTCATGAATCAATAATAAGCTCACTTCTATGGAAAACAACAAATCATCGTTTAAAGGCTACTTATTCACACAGCCGATAAATTATAAAGCATCATAATAAAAGCAGTAAAAATGATAGCATTAAACCATTTTTTATAAAATTATTACACAATGTAGTTAAAAAACAGGTATGGGCTTTGTGAGGTATGCTCTAGAAACTTAACTCAGGGAATGTAAAACCAGTAATTTCAAGCTTAAGAAACATTACATGCTGCCCATCACATCCCTGTAAGCTCCTACTGAATAGAATTTGAAAGCTGCACAACCAAGCTAGAGGCACCAGGACTGCCTCAGAATTGATAATAGCAAGTTGGAAAAGTAATCAATGGACTTCGTTACATAATACTTGACATGCATGTGTTTGAAAACAAACAAACAAAAAAATTGAAAGTAGAAGATATACTAAAATTGATAACAGAATAAGGGAAGAAAAATACAGTAAGAGATAAGAAAATGAAAATAGACAAGAGAAATATTGAATGAGAAGTTTCATGTGATGATAATCAAACTATCAGAAATTTCCAAGGAAGGAAGAGAGAAAATCTGTGTAATAAAATGATAGCGCAGGAAATTGGAGAGGTAGTTATTACAATGTTCTCAACAAAAGAACTAAACTTCAGGAATGTTACTGGAGATAGAAAGGGGCCATGTTAACTAGTGCAACTGTGTGTAGTTAAGTAGGCTGTAGGCTGTAGTCTTCACAGGGTCACCTTGTTGGTGTGCCATGTCAAGCAATGAGCCATGGCATGAGGCTACATCAGTCCTGAGGAAGGGGCTTCATTTTCTAATTAGTCCTCCCCAAAGAGGAGCTTTTTTTTTATTATTATTATTTCATCATCAATCCACCTAAAAAATAATGTTTTCTCCTGCTCCTGTTCCTCCTCCTGCTCTTCCTCCTCCTCTTCCTCTTTCTTCACACAAAGTTACAGTATAAACTTGGTGCAGTCTTTCCCCGCACAAAATGGAACAAGGTTACAGAGGAGAGTGAAAAAATGTTTAAAGCCAGAAAGTGATCAGAACTTTGAGAAAATGCATTTTGTGGTATGGGTCACAGGTGGGTAGATGATTTAAATTTTCCAGTGGATAATAATTAAGCCAGGATAGAAATTGATAGAAAATACAAGGAACATGTTGCAGATATCATTCAAGCTGGATTTGGTAATTACTTTTATGTGGAGATTATAGAAAAGAGGAGTCATTTAAAAATAAGGCTCCTAGCCAGGAAGATATAGTACCTAATCAAACAATGGTATAGTATAAAAATAAGTACAAATGTTAAATATAAGTATAAAAGTATAAAATATTATTTTAGTATAAAAATAAGAGGAGAGAATAATTTTGTAGGAAATGTCATGTGAATTAAGTCTCTTATTAGACTTAATAAGGACACATGAAAACACTACATAAAAATTAAAGGATGTATTTTGAAGCCAACTGTATAAATTTGGGGGTAAACCACCTAACATAAATCTGATAAAAAATTTGTTAAATACTGAATCATTTTATTTAATTATTTTATCTCTTCAAACAATTTTGAGGTCTTTTATATGTGCATCATCGAACAATGCTCTAGATATTTACAAATAAGCACCCAACAGTGCCATTGGGTAGATATAGATCCATCTTGTCACTCACATAATAAGCTTATGAAGTCCCTAGTCGAGAATCTACCAAGGTTATACAATGTACTGTGCCATTCTAAGATTTCACTCAAAGTGTATTTGACTTTCATCTGCATTCATTAAAAATTGATATGATAAATAATAAGCTTTATTGTTAAATTATGAAAATTTATAGCTAAATGATCTTAAGAGTATAATGTGTCATGTTCATTAAAAGCTCAAAAAATAATGTGTTTTGAAATGTCCTAGCATCTTCTCAAAATTTTCAACCTAGTTTCTGTGGGTAAATGCAATTTTAAATTTAAAATCATTACTATGAATTACTGTTGAATTTTAACTGACACGTCATAAGTGAGAGACTTTCTACAATGACTTTAGGACATCCAGGAGTATGAAATTTTATTTAAAATAATGTAATAATTACTGTCTACATGAAACCTCCCATATTTCTTTTAATGATAATTTATATTTTGTCTGTTATATTTACACATTGATTTAAAACAAATATCTTGTAAGATATAATTTCATTCAGTTATGGTGAGTACAGAGTGATGGTTTTCCATCATGCTAACATAATAGAAACAGGAAAAAAAGAAGATTCATTCAATTGTGCAGAAGTACCTCAATGGTACCACCACCTTTATAGTCGATGACAACATTTTTGCTTTTCTACATGACCATCGTACTATGCCTTAAAATTACAGATATGAATGAGTGGATAGAGATACTGTCTGGAAATGATTTGATGACCTAGTATCATCTTTTTAATAGCAATTAGGCTCTGGAAATGGCACTGGTGAGACTTCGCTGAGTCAATGGATGACAAACAGTGTTTACTCAGCTTGTAAATGTATTCTAAATCATACACCCCAGGAATGTCTAGAAATTCTTATTAAATATTAGTACTATATTTTTCCATGTGTTTAAAGTGGAACATGTGCATGAGCAATAAATCTGAACTTATGTTTTTTAATGATTAAGGTAAAATAGTCCATCCTTGGGAAAAAATGAATTTATTGACTATTTGGAGTTCCTTCTGCATTTTATGTCTTTGATAATAATAATGACACTCTTAAGTGATTATTATACTGCGTCTTCAAAATCAAACTATATCAAAGAGAAAAGAAAGTAAATGGTCCAAGTCTATTCTTTGAATGTTGTACCAGAATGATATAAAAGTCTATTTGCATTTTATTTGCTGTGTGATTACTTTTTGTTTTAACAAGTTATGTAGTATACTGATTCAAAATTCGGGTCTATTTCAATTGAGATATTGTAATTTTGGTTTACAGATCGGTTGGCTTATCTAAATTTTACGTCAATCTCACTGGTACTTTACTTACCTCCTGTAGATTTTAACAACAAAAAATAATTTGAAGTAAGAAAATTATACTTCTTCAAATCATTTGTAAGCACTGACATTTACAAATTTTTCACAAAATGTTAACTGAATCTCATTTTATAACATAAATTCTCCAAACACAATAGGTTTTCTTGGAAATTATTGCACATTGATTTTAAATTGCTAACAATGTGGTTTCATATTAAGAATGCTTGATGGAATTACAAGTAAGATTCAAAATCCAAGGTGTTTTATTTTGCCTATTTAATGGCAGTCAACTAGAAAATTTTACTGTAATGATGGTGAATAGACAAGGACTCAACTATAAATTATAAATAAATATATGGTATTCTACCCAAAATACAATCCAGTGTTTAGGTTAAAGTTGAGAGTGCCCACTGATGGATAAGATAATGAAATTCTTTTATATAATATAAAACTAATCTGTCAAAATTTAAATAAACCATGTTAAGCCTTTGAGGAGTAAAAATATTGATCAGTGTGTCGTAAAACTGAGTAATAGATATATATCTATTTTAGAAGGAATTTTGTTTTTTTCTGATATTTCATTAATATTTGATTTCTTGCCTATACTACTGCTTAAGACAAAACCTCTAGATAATAAGCAATTCTATTCAAAATATATAAGCATAAAATATTCTATATTGTGTTCACTTTTAAAATTTACCCATTACTGTTATTTTCAAAACTATATGTTAAATGTATTTCTAAATAAGGTGATAAAATCATGGTATTTCTACAATAAATTCATTTTTTTCCCAAGGATGGACTATTTTACCTTAATCATTAAAAAACCTAAGTTCAGATTTATTGCTCATGCACATGTTCCACTTTAAACACATGGAAAAAATTAACTGAAAATAAAAATATATATATAATTAAGCCCTATGGCATACATTTCTTTTGAGCCAAATAAGGTTAGATCCTGATGGGGTACATATTTCTACATAATTCTAATCTCCTAGGCAAAATTATGTACACATGATTTTACAACCACTGGTTTCTTACTTGGAATAGCATGTCAGATTGTTGTTTTTTAAGGCATCTCAGAAGTAAATTATTCACTGATGTTTAGGAAGAAAGACTCATCAAAAAGAGAAACCAGGCAAATCCTCCATGTTTACAGGGGTAGACTGGATCAATAGTGTCTGATTAGGAAAGCAGAAACCACTCAAGATATCTCTCAAAACTATTGGAGGGGCTGGGGAAATAAGGTGATGAGGAGAAGCAAATAAATAAATGAATACATAAATAAATAAAAGTAAAAAAAATCTTCAGTTAATCTTTAGTTGACTAGAATGAAGAATTATTTAAAATAAATATTTTACTGAATTGAGTGTTTATTGCCTTAGAACAATATAAATACCATGATAAGTTCAATAACTAAGATTAGCATAATTTCCTCTAATAATACTAATGGTTCAATCACAAGCACAGATCATTAAATTATTAGTTCAATTTACAAAGTAGAGAATACGGAATTTTATGAGCACCAGAGATCTTTTCTAGCTGAGTAAAAATATTCATTCTCATGATCCTTCTGGTATCTGATTTGAAATAGTGGGTGAGATGATGGTCCCACCAGATTGCATAAGTGAAATTGGTTCAATGATTGGAAGAGTGTGGCTCCAAGAATATATTATGTGGGAGGATCTGGGTAACTAAGTGCTCCCTGAACCTCCGTGCCATCAAGCTCGCTTTGCCAGAAGAAGCAGTAGTGCTTCCCTTGAATGATGAAACTCATATCTTGCTTTAATAACAATTCTCTTGCCTAAGGTAAGTTCCCTACAGTGGGGAGCTGATGCTCCCCATGCCCCAAACCCCATTTCCCCTAAGACTATCAGTAGAATTAAATATTAGCCTGTCTCTGTGAGATGTATAAACACAGGATTAAAAACACAAACCTCAGGAAATTGCTAAATGTATAAATAAACTCTGAGGATAATGAAAACAAAAAAGAGAGAATATTACAATTTTACGCTACAGTCAGTTTTAAAAAAATGAGTACTTTCCTCCACAATCTGGATTCAGTGGACCAACTGGGACATCAGTGTGTGGTTCCAATTATCCCAATCTTTACTTGCTTCATTAACAGGAACATGGCCTCAAAGAAGATTGAGGTGAATAGGGTGGCTGAATATACATATTTAATAATCCATAAGTGGAGTCATAATTATAAAAGGAGAAATGTGCACATGTGCAATTGAGCTTTGTGCCTCTTCATGAGTCGAATGATTTAAAAATGGCAGCGTGAGCATGATCTAAGAGTGGAGTTTTCAACACACTGACATCAAAAGGTGAAGCCAAGGACGCAAAAACCGTCTCTGTGCATCCTCTCCAAACTAGTCTGGTGATCATGGTCACTTTTTAGGAAGAGATGCACTGTAAATCTGGTGAGCTGTCACATCTGCTGTTGGCTTCAGATGACTGGCATAAGGAGACAAAGGAATGTGCTTTATATTTTTTGTTTTTCAGAGCTGGTTTCTGTTTACTCCTTAGGAAAGCACTCTGGTTAAAGATTAATAAAGAGGAATCATACTGAGGTGTATCCAACCTCCCATTCTGTCATGGCCAGGAACTCAGTTTTTAAAGTTTCTCTGGGTTCCCCTTGGCCAAGATGGAGATTAGGATTCATTCAGTTGATTGGGAGGTTTAAGATTTTATTTTTATGTCTCAACTGAAAAAAGCCACACCAAAAGAGTAGATATTTTGGGATTTTGTTTATGTAAAATTCCATAAAATGCAAACTAATCTAAACTGACAGAAGCAGGTTACTCATTGCCTGGGGAAGAGGATTAGCATTGGGGAAGGGGATGTGCAGAGATCTGACAATATGCAGAAGAAAACTTTTGGCTGTGATGGACTTGTCCATTATCTACATGTAATAGTGGTTTTATAGGTGTATACATGTACCAAAACTTATCAAATTGTTTACATATTTTTACTTTATTTTATGACAATTTTATTTCAATAAAGACATTATAAATGTAAAAACAACAAAAAATATATAGTCTTCAGCAAAATTTAAAACTTCCTTTACAAATCCCAATTTTAAAAATGAAAAGTCACCCTATTCACAATAAATTCCGGTCTTATTCTTCTCTCACTCGAAGTGCTGGTTTCCAGATTCTGTCAGAGACTGTGCTTCCTAGCCTGTCCGAATTGCCACTTTGCAGGATACAACCCTTTAGAAGAAACAAAGTTCTCCTTTGCAAATTTTTTAACCTTGTGATTCTTCAGTCGACATACTTAATATAATTATTTTGAGAGATCCAAACTATAATTATATATATCAATAATTTATTCTTTTTATTGAAGAATAGTATTCCATTATATGGAAATGCAATTTGTTTACTCACTTACATGTTGGTAGACTGCATTGCTTCCAGTTTTTGACTATCGAAAATAAAAATAAAGCCACTACAAGTATTTATGCAGAAGGCTTTGTTTGAAAAAAACACTTTCAGTTTTGAAATACCTAGGAATGCAATATCTGTGTCCTATGGCAGGTGTATTTTTAGATTTTAGTTAAATGGTGACTGTTTACAAAGGTAGTTGTGCCACTTTATATTCCTACCAGCAATTTCATGAGCATTTCATTTGAATCACATGTTCACCAAAATTATTTGGTATGGTTGGATTTTTTTTAATTTTAGGCATATATATATATATATATATATATATATAAACAATTATATTGTGGGTTTAATTTGGGTTTCCTTAATAACTAATTATATTAGGTATCTGTTTATGTGCCTATTTTCTGTATGTGTATATTATTTGGAAAAATGTCTATTTAGACATTTGTCCATTTGTTTTTTAGTTTCTTTGATTTCTTATTGACCTTTCAGATTTATTTGTATATCCTGAACTCAAATTATTTTTCAAATATGTGATTTGCTGGCCATTTATATTAGCCTGTGACTTGTCTTTTTATACTTTTAAATCATTTATATTAGTCAAAAAAAAAAGAAGATTAAGGTGACAAATTAGAGAAAAATTATTAGAGAAAGCAGCAAGAGATTTTGGATATATCCACTCTTGCCCAAACTATATTTGAGGAGAGAGCCCAGAGATAATCATCTTGAGAAACATTTAACCAAGGGGGACACTAGTTTCCGTGTATATCATTGTATTGATTATTTTCAGTGGGTTGTGATCCTGTTGGGAGATGGTGTTATTAAAATTTGCTTCTAGGTTTTTAGTAGAAAGAGATCATCTGGGGCACCAGAGACTGCATATTTGTATTACAGTGCCGAAGTAGTGGATCCAAAAAGAGGTAAAGCCAGTTAATAACAAGAATTTACATCAGAAGGAATCTTTAATTTTGCTCAAATGTGCACAGCATTCCTGGACCAAAATAAATGGATACTAATGTGGTATTCTACTAATTGGTATGACTATAACTATTTCAGTCATGTTAACAGAAGTCTGACCTGGAATTAGATATTGAAGTCATGGTTTCTTACACAGTTTTCAGAATTAAGTCAGTTCACATACTCAGGATCCACCGAAATAAGTAAATGTTCAATATACTTGAAATTGTATCTTACAATAACATCACCAGTATATTTTTAAAAATTTTTTCCTACATCCCAGATTTATATGAATAAAGAGTTCACAGTTTGGACACTCATCTAGGAGAAATTATTCCCCCAAACACAGACTGCTATGATAAAGTTAGTTTCAGAGTTCCTCCCTCATTCTCCTGGGCTATCTAATCCAAGTTTAACCTAGGATAGGGAAAGCACCACCTATAAACTTTATAGGAGTGTCAGAATGCTGTCAAGATTGAAGTGTCTAAAATGTGTTTCTGCCTTATTTTGTGGTCTAGTGATAGAATAACAGAGGAGATTTAAAACATTGTGGTATTTTTTGCAAAGCAAAATGAGAGTCAAGTACAAGTGTTAAGTAGCCTCATTGGAAAAGAAAAATAGCATTAGCAAAAGAAGCTCTTTAATCACATGGTGAACAATTATCCTTCTTACTATCAGAGCCAGAGAGGAGTAGAGAAAACCATTTTTGGGAGGCAGGTTCTGAATCTACATAGTATACATAAAGAAAATTATCTTGCCAATAGAGAGCAACACAGCCAATAGTGATCATAAACTGTGTTGTTTAGATGATGTTTTTCATACTGAGGGTGGTGAATTATTAGTGTGTTATAAAAACAGATCATGTGAGCCATCAAATATTTTTCATGGAATAATGAGTGGATTAAAATTGAATAGAATAAATTGAAATAGAATCAATCTAGTACATATAATATTTTAAATCTTCATTGGGATATTAGAAATATACTATATTAATAATTGTGATTACAAAAAAAACACAAGAACTTATTCCCCTAGGCAATGAAAACAATTCATATGTTACAAAAGAGTTTTAAATTTTTGAATTTAATATATTGTCTCAAACATGCTAATTTGGTTACAGAATTAAATAGCGATAACTAGCCAATAAAAAATGGATGTTGATATTGTAAGACTTTTTCAGTACTTTACTTGTAGTACCCTTAAAGCGAGCTAGATATTGCATTTAAGGAATCAATATGTTGATTTGGAAATTGTAAGGCTAATACTTTGAACTTTAAATTTGTAGTTTGATGAACAGTTATTTAATATTTATTCTTTGATGATTTACTCCCTTGATTAGTTTGTAAAACTTATTCTACTTAAAGAGCAATCTGGAAGTATTGATTTCCTTTACATTGGATTATACAAACATTCTTTAATGCTGGACAAGCAAAAAAAAAGAAAGAAAAAAGAATCATTTGGAAAAAATATATAAGGGAGCTTATGTTTATTTTATTCTGTCATAAATTTTGAGGTGGTAAAAGATAAAAGGGCAAGAATGAAAAATGCTTGTAGCCTGTGTTTTAAACATTTTTTGTTTGACATTTAACATGTATACCATGCTCTTTGGAATAATGATAAATTTGTAAATATATAACTGTCTCATTCTTTCTTCACTTGGTCAACTTTTATCCTTTTTTTGCATTGTGTTCTATTAAATATGCAATGATTGCTTTCTTTAAAATACTTGCAATTATAGAAAAAGATTAAAATGAGATATTTCGTGAACTAATATATATTACACAAGGAAATAATTAGTAAAACATCCCTGAGTCATTCTATTTTAAAATAGCAAAAGCATCATTTCCTGAATTATATAAAACAAAAAGGATAACAATGAACATGTAAAATTTTATTAGGGAGTAACTGGGAATCTATACTCAATCCCTGAGAAGAGAACAGGGGTATGGCCTAGGTAAATTTTAGTCTTCACTGAATGCTCCTTTGCCTTTGGTCCTTGAGGCAATATGGAAACAGTCTGAAATTTTTAACAAATAAGTTAAGTTCTCAGTTTGAGAAAGGATCAAACTGATTTGAAAAGGGAGAAAAACTGTCTGGCATTTCCTACCCGAGTTAACCTGTTAACTGAAGCTTCAGATGGCTCACATTTTTTTTTTTCATAATGGTATGAAGACTTGATGCACCTAAATTCTTCAAAAAAAAAATCTCAGGATATTGAGAAAGAAGGAAAAATGTTTTCATTTTTTTTAACACAAGATTTCCCAAATGAATCTTAAAATGAATCTTTTTTTTTGCCTTCTTGTTATTTTGTAAGAAATTCATTTTTTCCTGAAAATTTATCTACATAGAACTTATTTTATATTTCCAATTTTTATTTTTACATTTCAATATTCTAGGCTTAGGCTTCCTCATATAGCTGCAATACTGAAAATAATTCTTACACCAGCCACCTGGAGTTAGTTGCAAATCCATAAGTTAAAGACTGCCATAAGTTAAAATCCACAAGTTTTAGATGGATTTAACAAATCCATAAGTTAAAGCCACACTTCAGATGACAGCCACAAATTTGGGGTCCCCAGGCCACCTGAACTTCTAATCAACTGGTCACGCATCCAAGGAGTTCTCATGACCCCCTGAAGCTTGATAGTTTCTAGAAAGACACACAAATCAGGAATCTGCTATACTTATGATTACAGTTTTATTATAAAGAATACAAATTAGGAGACATATGAAATGAAGAGACACATGAGGCATGGTCTGGGAGAATTCCCAATGAAGAGGTTCTATGCCCTCTTCTCATGGAATTACAATGTATTCTGAATTTAAGACATTAAATATGAGCCGAGATTGAGTATACCTTACCTTTGAGATAAAGATAAACTACTGGTTCTGTGGGAAATTGATTTTAAGGTGGCCGTTCTTGATGAGAAAGGGACTTCATTCTTCAGGATGAAAATTTCCAAATAAAACAAAGAAGTCCTCTGTGAAATTTACTCTATAATCTTTTTTTGCAGCTACACTTAACATAGTAAACATTTATTTTTCAAATAAATCGAACCAGCACCACAGAGGTATGTTGTTTTGTAAAGCCATTCAGCAACTGAGGGTGATGGAAGATTTGACCTCTTCAGTATGTGGCTTCCAAAGTAACTCAGAGTACTGAAACCAAGCTGGCAAATGGGATTTATGAGATAGAATGAATGATTAAGAGCCTAGAAGTTTTATACATTTTATAACGTATTATATGCCAACTTTTCATTGGATAGAACCAAATAAATTGGCTAAAACAAGACATTCCTAATTCCCTTTCCAGAAATGCATTTTAGCTTTTAATTCTGAAATACTACAGAGGGTTTTTAAAAATAAGAAGCTACACAGAGATATTTTTGTTAATATTGTGGAACACAAACATTTGGCTTCAAATAAAAAAGCATAACACTAATAAATCAAGCAATATGTTTATCTTAAATCCCATTCTTTTTGTAGTGACTAACAAAAATAAGTATAATTTGAATCTCCGTACCCTACATATATTTGTTTTTAATGTTTCTTGATTATCAATAAATTGTTCCTAAAATTATAGCTCTGAGAAACATACTTTTGATAATGTTAGGAAGATTTAAAGATGACAAGAAGAGACTATATCTATATTTAATATAAAAGACATAACCACGATGTGCTGCTATTGACACAGTACAGAATAAAATCACACTAAATATTAAATGATACCTATGATTCAAAACTCATTGGTAAGCTGACCAGACCTCAGTTAACCAGGTTGTCAATCCCTCTTACCGTTAATAAAGACCAATGTATTTCACCTGAGATCCAAATAAATGAAATACTTTTAAATTCAAGTGATTTGCTTTACTTATTTTTTACATAAAGATGAGTATGTATCTAAAAGGAGACATATTTGTAATTCTGTTTTTGCATTTTCTGAGAGATCTCAAATATATTTGTTGCCACAACTCAAAAAAGTGAACATATTTTAATGAATGCAATAGGCATTCATTAACGTACTTTTCCTGTGACTTCACAACATTGCGAGAAGAAAAGATAAGAAGATCTAGGAGACATGAGGCAACAATCTGATTAGACAGTAAGTTTGGCTGAAAAGAAAGTGTGGGAAAATCTTCTCTTCTGAAAGAACAACTTTGCCTGTAATCCCAGCCAGCACTATAGGAGGCTGAGGCAGGCGGATCACGAGGTCAGGAGTTCAAGACCAGCCTGACCAACATGGTGAAACCCCATTTCTACTAAAAATACAAAAATTAGTCGGGCATGGTGGCGTCTGCCTGTAATCCCAGCTACTCAGGAGACTGGGGCAGGAAAATCGCTTGAACCCAGGAGGCGGAGGTTGCAGTGAGCTGAGGTCACGCCACTGCACTCCAGCCTGGGCAACAGAGCGAGACTTTGTCAAAACAAACAAACAAAAAAAAAACTTTATCAAAAAGTACAATGCAGACAATTCTACTTCCAATTATGTGTGTGTTTATAAATTTAATTTTAAAATGCAAAGATGCTATGTAAGCATAATCTCACAACTCTTAAATTTACTCTACCTGTAATTAGGGTTATGCTGGTAAATGCATACCAATTGTTTTTCAACAACAACAACAAAAATAGCTCTGATTCTCAGTTGTAACATTTGCTCATTTCTGGAGTGTAAACATTTTTACTATGGTTGATTTCAGTATAATAACATAAAGTCATTGAATGCAGAATTAGGAGGAAAGGTGAAGTAGCACACCATTATAGAGTAGTTCCACAAAAAAAAAAAATGTAAATATCCTCAAGAACATAGAAAATAGTACAGTATAGTAGAGTAATTGTAAGGTGATTCTTTTAAAGTATTTATTAATTTTATTTTAATGTAAATTGCTTAATTGTAATTTTTATAATTTAATTTTCAATAATGGCCATCTTCAACATCTTCAACAATCGATCAGCTTGCAAAGTTTTGCAAAGATTTTCTCCTTATCTTTACTTTCTAGCAGTTTGTCTATGGAGTGTGTGGCAGACAGACACTAAGGTTACCCCTCAATAATTTCTGGCCTCCTGATGTTCACGCTGCTGAGTATTACTGTCTCCTTATGTCTGGACAGGATCTGTGGTTTGCTCTCACCAGTAGAATATGGAAAAGGTGATAAAATGATACTGTCCTGATGAGTTTTTATTATATCATGCTATATAGCAAAGGTAATGAGATGTTATGCCTGTAGTGTGCTAAGTTAAAAAAGATTCCAGCAGATTAGAGCTAGAGTTTTCTTGCAGGTTCAATGCATTAGGGAACCACATTGAAGAATTTCACAGAAGGATCTGGAGGCCAGTTGCCTCTAGGAGTTGAAGGCAGCTTCCAGCTTACAGTCAGCAAATAACTGGGGACCTTGTTCTTACAACCACAGGAAATGAATTAGATCCACAACCTGAATGAGCTTGGAAGCAGGTAATTCCATAGGTAATCCTTTGGAAGAGGAGGCAGTATGGCTGACACCTTAACTGTAGCTTTGTGAGATCTGTAACAGAAGACTCAGTAGCTATGCCTGGATTCTTGATCTGCAGGCATTCTGGATATATGTGTGAACATCTTTATCCAGAACTGAATTAGTGCTTTATTTTGATTATGATCTACTTTGCTGATACTTGAAGAAGAAACAGGACCCAAAGCTAACCACACAATCCCTAAATACACTTAGAACTCATATAGTTAATATGTTATGTTTTATTTCTCCTATTCCCATTTTGTTCATTATATACCCTCCTGAAGCCACATGGCAGAGAATACACTTTAATTGAAATACACATTTATATATGCTTGTGTCCATCCTTTTACTATGATAAGTAGAATTAATTATGTTGTGAACATTGCTAAAGTCATAAAAAAGCAATATGTTTGGTTTCTCCTAGATCACATACAGAAGCAGATGAAGAACATACATATATGATAATACACATATATTGGGCTTCTGGTATTCTGAACTTTCTTGAATTTCCACAAAAGCTCCATTTCATTATTTTAAAAAATTCAAAAGTAAAATAATTTTGCAACTGTATGAGAAGCTGATGAGTTGTTTTAAGTAATTTGAATTCCTAAGCCTAATTTTCTAAATGTTCAAGAGTAATACATACATGCAGAAAAATGAAATTATGCTTTGTGCCATGTCAAAAGTTTCCTATTTCATCTATATCTATCCACACATTATATTTTGTTAGTTGCTTCTCAAATTTCTCACCTTTCAGAAAATGACTGGACATTCATCCCTTTGCTGAAAAAAATAACTGTTGAAATAGAGAATCAACCAATTTCAATAAAGACAGCATCATTACTGCAGTTCTTATAAATATGTAGTTCAGGCCGGGCACAGTGGCTCACGCTTGTAATCCCAGCATTTTGGGAGGCCGAGGCGGGCGGATCACAAGGTCAGGGGATCAAGACCATCCTGGCTAACACGGTGAAACCCCGTCTCTACTAACAATACAAAAAAATTAGCCGGGCGTGGTGGCAGGAGCCTGTAGTCCCAGCAACTCGGGAGGCTGAGACAGGAATGATGTGAACCTACGAGGTGGAGCTTGCAGTGAGCTGAGATCACGCCACTGCACTCCAGCCTGGGCAACAGAACGAGACTCCGTCTCAGAAATAAAATAAAATAAATGTAGTTCATTACTTCAGAAAATAATAGATGTACTGTCTATTTTAGTAATCTTCTATAACAAACTTCAGTGAGTGATGCCAAGTATACTATTTCCCAGTACCACATATGGTGTAATAAAGGATTAAATATCGGAAACTCCATTTTTTTTGTTTTGTTTTCTGACCCCAGCGTAAAAAGGGACACTAAAAGGAGCTAAACATCCTACTGCAATTACATTTTTGCTTAAATGAATCTTCAAAAAATGTAGCTTCATCGTCACATAGGATAAATATCAATATGAGCAAAATTCTCCTACTTTACTACATTCCCACACTAAAAATTATTACAAAGAGACTAAGACTTATCTTTCATAAGTTATCATTTTATGGACATTAAAGGCAGTTAATATAATAAGCTATTTCACAGTTACAGTATTCATAGCAGAAATTTTGAGTAAGCACCAAGCCCTTTGTTTCATTTGTTTGTTGCTTTAGATTCAGAGGTACATGTGTCTTTGTTTACATAGGTAAACTTGTGTCACAGGAGTTTGATGTACAGATTATTTTGTCACCCAGGTACTAAGCTTAGTATCCAATAGTAATGTTTTCTAAGCCTTTCCCTAATTTCATCCTCTGATAGGCCCCACTGTTTGTCGTTCCCCTCTCTGTGTCCATACATCATTTATCTCCCACTTACATGTGAGAATATTTGGTATTTGGTTTTCTTTTCCTGCATTAGTTTGCTAAAGATAATGGCCTCCAGCTGCACTCATGTTCCTACAAAGGACATGATCTCATTCTTTTTTATGGCTGCATTGCATTCCATGATGTATATGTACCATATTTTCTTTATCCAGTCTATCATTGATGGGCATTTAGGTTGATTCCATAACTTTTCTGTTGTGAATAATGCTACAATGAACATGCACATGCATGTGTCTTTCTGACACAATGGTTTATAATCCTTTGGTCATATGCCCAATAAGGGGATTGTTGTGTTGAATGGTTGTTATGTTTTAAACTATTTGAGGAATTGTCAAACTGCTTTCCACAATCATTGAATTAATTTACACTCCCACCAACAGTGTGTAAGTGTCCTTTTTCTCTGCCACCTTGACAGCATCTGTTATTTTTCTGACTTTTTAATACTAACCATTCTGACTGGTGTGAGGTGATATTTCATTGTGGTTTTGATTTGCATTTCTCTAATGATCAGGGATATTGAGCTTTTTTCATTTGCTTTTTGGCCACATGTATGTCTTCTGAAAGTGTTCATATCTTTTGCCCACTTTTTAATGAAGTTCTTCAGTATTTCTTGTACATTTGCTTAAGTTCCTTGTAGTTGCTGGATATTAGACCTTTGTCAGATGCAAAATTTGCAAAACTTTTCTCCCATTAGGTAGGTTGTCTGTTTACTTTGTTGATAGTTTCCTTTTCTTTGCAGAAGTTCTTTAGGTTAATTAGATCCCATTTGTCTACTTTGCTTTTGTTGCAGTTGATTTTGGTGTATTCATCATGACATCTTTGCCCATGTCTATGTCAAGAATGCTATTACCTAGGTTGTCTTCCAGGGTTTTTATAGTTGTGGATTTTACATTTCAGTCTCCGTCTTGAGTTGATTTTAGCATATGGTGTAAGGAAGGGGTCCAGTTTCAATCTTCCGCATAGGGCTAGCCAGTCATCCCAGCATCATTTATTGAATAGAGAGTATTTCCCAGTTGCTTGTTTTTGTCAACTTTATTAAAAATAAGATGGTTGCAGGCATGAACCTTTATTTCTGGACTCTCCATTCTGTTCTATTGGTCTATGTGTCTGTTTTTGTACCAGTAGCATGCTATTTTGTTTACTGTAGCCCTGTAATATAGTTTGAAGTTGGGAAGCATGATGCCTCCAGCTTTGTTGTTTTTGCTTAGAATTGCTTTGGCTATTTGGGCTGCTTTTTGGTTCCATATAAATAGTTTTTTCTAGTTCTGTGAAGAATGTTGTTGGTAGTTTTGTAGGGATAGCATTGAATCTGTAAATTGCTATGTGCAGTATGGCTATTTTAATGATATTGATTCCTCTGATCAATGAGCATGGAATGTTTTTTCCAATTGTTTGTGTCATCTCTGATTTCTCTCAGTAGTGTTTCATAATTCTCTTTGTAGAGATCTTTCACCTCCATTGTTAGCTATATTCCTAGGTATTTTATTCTTTTTGTGGCAGTTGTGAATAAGATTGCATTGCTAATTTGGCTCTTGGCTTGGCTGTTGTTGATGTATAAGAATGCTGGTGATTTCTGTACGTTGATTTTGTATCCTAAATTTGCTGAAGTTGTCTATCAGCTTAAGGAGTTTTAAGGCCAAGACTCTGGGGCTTTCTAGATATAGAATCATGCTATCTGGAAACAGGGATAGTTTGACTTCCTCTCTTCCTATTTGGATGCCCTTCACTTTTTCCTTTTGCCTGACTGCTCTGGCCAGGACTTCCAATACTATGTTGAATAAAAGTGATGATAAAAGGCATTCTTGTCTTGTATAAATTTTCAAGGGGAATGCTTTGATCCATTCCATATGATGTTGGCAGGGAGTTTCTCATAGATGGCTCTTGTTACTTTGAGGTATATTTCTTCACTACCTAGCTTGTTAAGAGTTTTCAACATGAAGGGATGTTGAATTTTATCAAAGGCCTTTTCTGTATCTATTGCGATGATCATGTGGTTTTTGTCTTTTCTTCTGTTTACATGTTGAGTCACATTTATTGATTTGCCTATGTTAAACTAACCTTGCATCCCAGAAATAAAGCCTACCTGATTGTGGGGATTAGCTTTTTGATGTGCTGCTGGATTTCATTTGCTACTATTTTGTTAAGGATTTTTGTATCAATGTTCATCAAGGATATTGGCCTAAAGTTTCTGTTGTTGTTGTGTCTCTACCAGGTTTTGGTATCAGGATGATGCTGGGCTCATAGAATGCGATGGCAAGGATTTCTTCCTCCTCAATTTTTTTAGAGTAGTTTCAGTAGGAATGTTACCAGCTCATCTTTATATATATGGTAGAATTTGGCTGTGATTCCATCTGCTCCAGGGCTTTTTTGGTTGGTGGGCTGTTTATTACTGATTCAGTTTTGGAGTTCATTATTGGTCTGTTTGGGGATTCACATTTCTTCCTGGTTCCATCTTGGGAAGGTGTATGTATCCAGGAATTTATTCATCTTTTGTAGATTTTCTAGTTTGTGTGCATAGAGGTGTTCATAAGTGTCTCTGATCATTATTGGTGTTTCTGTGGGGTCAGCGGTAGTGTCTTCTTTGTTGTTACTGATTGTGTTTATTTGGGTCTTTTTTTCTTCTGTATTAGTCTAGCTAGCAGTCTATCTATCCTGTAATTTTTTTTCAAAAAAACCAGCTCCTGGATTTGTTGATCTTTTGAATGGATTTTTATGTATCTCCTTCAGTTCAGTTGTGATTTTGGTTATTTCTTACTTTCTGCTAGCTCTGGGATTGGTTTGATTTTGCTTCCTTAGTTCTTTTAGTTGTGATGTTAGGTTGTTAAACAGATCTTTTTAACTTTCTGATGTGGGTGTGTAGTGCTAAAAATTTCCCTGTTAATACTGCCTTAGCTATGACCCAAAGATTCTGGCAGGTTTTATCTTTGTTTTCAGTAGTTTCAGTCCTCTTGATTTATGCCTTAATTTCATTATTTATCCAAAAGTCATTCAGAAGCAGGTTGTTTAATTTCTATGTAATTGCATGGTTTTGAGTGATATTCTTAGTCTTGAATTCTATTTTTATTGTGCTGTGGTCTGAGAGAGTGGTTGGTATGATTTTGGTTCTTTTGCATTTGCTGAGGATTGTCTCATGTCCCACTGTGTGGTCAGTTTTAGAATGTGTGCTATATGCAGATGAGAAGGATGTATATGCTGCTGTTTTGGGTGAACAGTTCTGTAGATGTCTGTCAGATTCATTTGGTCTAGTGTTGAATTCAGGTCCTGAATATCTTTGTTAATTTTCTTCCTTGATGATCTGGCTAGTAATGTTAATGGGATGTTAAAGTTTCCCACTATTATTGTGTGGGAGTCTAAGTCTCTTTCAGGTCTCTAGGAACCTGCTTCATAAATCTGAGTGCTCCTGTGTTGGGTGCATATATATTTAGGATATTTAGGTTTTCTTGCTGAATTGAACCCTTTACCAGTATGCAATGCCCTTCTCTGTCTTTTTTGATCTTTTTTGGTTTAATGTCTCTTTTGTATGAAATTAGGATTGCAACCTGTGCTTTTTTTCAGTTTTCCATTTGCTTGGTAGTGTTTTCATCATCCCTTTGTTTTGAGCCTATGGGTATCATTGCATGGGAGATGGGTCTCTTGAAGACAGCATACCATTGGGCCTTGCTTCTTTATCCAGCTTGTCACTCTGTGCCTTTTAATTGGGAGCATTTAGCCTATTTACATTCAAGTTTAGTGTTGATATGTGTGAATTTTATCCTGTCATTATGTTGTTAGCTGTTTATTATAATGACATATTTATGTGGTTGCTTTATAGTCTCACTGGTCTGAGTATTTAATTATGTTTTTGTAGTGGCTGATAATAGTCTTTCTTTCCATTTTTAGTGCTTCTTTCAGGAGTTCTTGTTAGGTAGGTCTGGTGGTAACAGACTCCATCAGCATTTGCTTGACTGAAAATAATTTTATTTCTCCTTTGCTTATGAAGCTTGCTTTGGCCAGATGGAGAATTTTTAGGTGGAATTGCTTTTTTTAAGAATGTTGAATGTTTATTTCTTCTGGTTTGTATGGTTTCTGCTGAGAAGTCCACTGTTAGTCTAATGGACTTCCCTTTGTAGATGACCGGTCCTTTCTCTAGTTGCTTTAACATTTTTCTTTCATTTTGCCCTTGGAGAATCTGATGATTTTGTGTCTTGGGTATGATCTTGTGGAGTATTTTGTGGGGGTTCTCAACATTCCCTGAATTTGAACGTTGGCCTCTCTAGCTAGGTTGGGAAATTTCTCATGGAAATTTCTCTTCTCTAAATGTATTGAAATACATTTTGCAACTTGCTTCCATTTTCTCCATCTCTTTTAGGGACACCAATGAGTCATAGATTTGGTATTTTTATATAATCCTGTATTTCTTGGAGGCTTCATTTGCCCTTTTTATTTTTTTTATTTGACTGTCTTATTTCAGAAAGCCAGTCTTCAGGCTCTGAGATTATTTCCTCAACTTGTTCTATTCTGCTGTTAATACTTGTGATTGCATTATGAAATTCTTGTAGAGTGTTTTTCAGTTCTATCAGGTCAGTTACATTCTTTTCTATATTGCGTATATTGTCTGCCAGCTTCTGTGTCATTTTATTGTTATTCTTAGCTTTCTTTGGATTGGGTTTCAACAATCTCTTGAATCATAATGATGTTTCCTATCCATATTCTGAATTATATTTCTGTCATCACAGCCATCTCAGTCCAGTTCATCTCATCTCTCCTTGCTGGATAAGTAGCACAGTAATTTGGGGGAAAGAAAACACTTTGGCTTTTTGAGTTGTCATAGTTCTTGTGCTTGTCCTTTTTTTGTCTTTGTGTGCTGTTATTCCTTCAATCTTTGAACTTTCTGTCCTTTGGATTTTTTTTATCCTATTTGATTATCTTGGGGGTTTGATTGAGGTATAAGGTGGGTTCATGCAACTGACTTCATTACTGGATGATTTTAGGGGGGCAGCATTCAGCTTAGGACTCCTGTACTGTGTGGTCTAATTCTGGCGGAGTGGTATCAGGCCTTGGCTTTGATCTCTGGCTCCTACAGATTAGGAACCTGCTATGCTGGAGAGGTCAAGTTTCTCCTGGGCTGCTGATCACAACATTCCAATGAGTGTTGCCAGCCAAAGCACTTCCTGGGGCAGTGGCAAAGGGATCCATCTTGGTTTGCATGTGCCAGCAGCAGCAGAAGTAGCAGCAGTGTGGCAGGCTTCACATTTGTTAGCTGTGGTGGGGTGCTAGCCTGTAGGCATGCATTCAGAGCAGTGGTGGTGGCAGTATGGCTCGAGGGAGGGGGCCCATGCCGACAGCTGTGCATGGGTTCATACCCAAGGTGGTGTTAGCTTGAGGGTGGGGCACTGGTGGGAATGGGGCACTGTGGCCAGTGGGGCTGGTGGACTTTGTGCCTCCTAATATTCAGAGGGAAACAGTGGTGTGGTGCTGAGGGTAGAGTGCACTCCTGCTGGCAGCAGTGGCTGGGAAGGGAAGGATGGTCTGCCCATGCAAATGCACTGGCAGAGCAGTATGGGGGGTGGCTGTAGGTGAATGCCTGCAGACAAAGTGGCATGGGTGAGACTCTGGGTAAGGGGAGGGCATGAAGAAGCTGGTGCATGTCTTTGTGGTGCTCTGTTGGAGCACTCTGCTGGTCAGACATGGTCCAGCAGTGCAGGAGCTATGGTGCAGACTCCCAGGAGGACCTGAGAGCTGCACTGCTGACAGGCACAACCAGGCTGGGACTCAGGAGGGGCCAGCAGACCAAGAAGTGCTCAGGTTGGACTGGCCCCATGTCATGGGCAAGACTGCCATGCAAAGTTCAGGTCCAACAGTTCCCTAGGACTAAAGTCTTTTCTGGGAGCAAGTTGAGCCTAGGGGATGGACATCCCTGGCTATGCTTCACTACAGACACTCCTGTACCAAACCTTCTGGGTTGTGCCCAGGCTGGAATTCTGCCTCTACCTCTTCTCTAAGCAGCTTTCCTTACCAACTCAAGTATCTGTGGTAGTCGAGGGGTCTCTTCCTGCTAGGAATCCAAAGGCCTATGATGACAACAGGTTGCTCCTTGCCTGTTCGATTCACCACCTCCGCAGCAGTAATTGGGTGCTAGGAACAAATTCCAGTGTATGGTAGCCCCATGTCAGGTTCCCAACTTTCTCCCTCTTCAGCCAAGCCTCTGTGTCTTTCCTCTGTGTGCTCTCAGTGCCTTGCCTCTGAAGATCTGCTAGAATTGCACCAGTCTGCACAATGTCTCTGTCCCTCAGTGTGAGATGTGCCACTTGGCTGTGGCTAGTCAGCAATCTTGGAGAAGAAGGAGTTTTGTTTTTTAAATTTAGTTTTGCCATTAGAAAGATGTATAGAAAATAAAATATTTAGTCATAAAAGTTGGCATTTATTTATATTTTCAAGACTGTCATTTCAAATGTAAAATTTAAGACTAATACAAAGTATTTTTACGTCAGTTACTTAAGAATGAATAACTTCAGAAAACTGAAAAAGTTTAAAGTAACAAATAATAAATTTTTTGTTATGTTTGTCTCTGGATCCAATTGTATTACTCCTAAAATCTCAGTGCTATTTTAACAGTCTGCAAATACAATAACTAGGACTAAAAACTAGAATTAGTAAAGCTTTTACATAAATGATGCATGGATAATATGGAGGGTTGCAAACCAGTGGATTTTTCACAGTCTGCTATTTTGAAAGTAAGTTATAAATGAATATGAGCAGACTGGGGTGAGGTATGATACCAAATATTTGATTCTTGAATATCATGATGCGATATACAATTTTCTATAAAACTGTAAGACATAAAATTGCAAGTGAGAGTTAAAGCAAAAATTTATATACTCTACTCGTATACATTTTTCACAATGTAAAAGGAGAGATATGAAAATTTATACTTAAATTACATATAATAAGAACCAATTTTATTGAAGTCTATAAAACACTTTAAAAAAGTATTACCTGAGAATAGGGCTTTTTTTTTTTTTTTTTTTTTTTTTTTTTTTTTTTTTTTTTTGTGCTAGACCAGTGAAGTTACTCAGGGCTCTTGCTTAGAAGGTCCCATTAATATGCATTATACACAGTCATGTACACAACTGCTGCTTCTGTTTAACATTTTTTGTTTCTTAGAGGTAATCTTTCTATAATACTTTAAATATCCAACTTTTATACATTTAAAAAACTGAAAAGAATAATTCATATCAATAAAACAATGTTATTCTCAATTTCAAACAATGGGACTAGTTGGCATATTACCCTTGCTATAATAAAACATATGGTTTTAAACTGCACACACTAAACAAAATATTAATAGCAATAAATATAGCCGGAGGCCACAAATTTAGTTGCTATTAAAGTTTTCAGGTAGTGACATACATAATGTTTAACTAGAGTTAACTCTACATACAAATCTCTTGATTGCATTCCTAAGACCTTACCTCCCAAACCTAGCTACAAAATGCTATAAAATAGCAAATAAAACGATTAAATGAGTTATTAAAAGGAATATTAAACTATTTTATGAGACAGGGTCTTCCTCTGTCACCCAGGCTGGAGTTCAGTTGTGCAATCTCAGCTCACTGCAAGCTTGACCTCCCAGTAGCTTGGACCTCAGTCTCCCAAGGAGTTTAAACTACAGGTACACACTATCACACCTGGCTAATTTTTTTTTGTATTTTTGTAGAGATGGGGTTTTGTCGTGTTGCCCAGGTTGGTCTCAAACTCCTGGGCTCCAGTGATCCACCTCAGTCTCCCAAAGAGCTAGGATTGCAGGCATGAGCCACAATGCCTGGGCTAAACATGTTTTATAGCATGTTTGTTAGTATAATAGTTAACACATTTATATTTTTCAAAAGATACAAATTCCAAGTGTCTAAACACTTTTTCATAGCTCTTTCTTCTGAAAAATTTATTCTTATATTAGTCATCTTTACGTTAAAAATAAAATTCCAGTTTGAAACATTACTCATGTATACAGAGTAGCACAGTTCTATGAAGTATGAGTCAAAGAGCCACTAGTGAAAGACTAATCAAAATCAGTTACAAATTCCTAGACACATACAATCTACCAGAATTGAATCAAGAAAAAAAAAGAAAGAAAATCTGGACTGACCAATAATGAGTTACCAAATTGAAGAAATAATAGAAAGTCTCCCATAAAAAAAGTGAAGGACTGTTAGTTTAACTGCTGAATTCTACAGAACATTTAAGAAAAAATGAATATCAATTCTTCAAAAAATATTCCGATAAATTGAAAATAGGAGAATCCTTCAAAATTCATTGTGTAAGGCCAGTATTACCCTCATGCCAAAGCCAGACAAGGGCACAACAACAACAAAAGAAAATTGTAGGTCAAAAAAAAAAAAAGAAAATTATAGGCCAAAAAAGAAAATTATAGGCCAATATTCCCAACGAACATAGATGCAATGCATCAATAATACCCAAAACAATCTACAGATTCAATGCAATCTCTATCAACTTTCCAATGTTGTTCTTCACAGAAATAGAAAAAAGCAATTTTATAATTTGTATGGAACCACAAAAGACTGAATAGCCAAAGCAATCTTAAACAAAAAGAACAAAGTTGAAGTCATTACACTATCTAATTTTAATCTAAACTATAAGTCTGTAGTAACCAAAACAATATAGTATTGACATACGAACAGACAAGTAGACCAATGGAAAAAAACAGAGAGCCCAGAAATGAATTTGCATATATAAAGGCAATATTTTTTAAGCTAACAGCCAACTCTATTTGACAAAGATGCCTAGAATACAAAATGAATAAAGAACTGTCTCTTGAGTAAAGAGTTATGGAAAAACTTGATATCTACATGCAAAAAAACAAAACAAAACTGGACCCTTATCACCCTCCACATAAAAAGTCAACTCAAAATGTATTATAGGCTTAAATGTAAGATCTGAAATTGTGAAACTATTAGAAGGAAACACAGGGGACATGCTAAATGATATAAATTGGAGCAAGGATTTTTTAGATAAGACTTCAAAAGCATGAGCAACAGAAGCAAAAATAAACAAATGGGAATACAGTAAACCAAAAAGCTTCTGTATAGCAAAAGAAACAGTCAATGAAGTGAAAAGACAGAATGGGAAGAAGTATTTGCAAGCTATACATCTGACAAGGGGTTAATATCCAGAATTTAAAATAAACAACTCAATAGCAAAAATATAAATAACCTAATTTAAAAATGGGCAAGTAACCTAAATAGACATTTCTTCTAAGAAGACCTACAAATATCCAGTAGATACAGGAAAAAAATGCTCAACATCACTAATCATCAGGGAAATGCAAATTGAAACCATAATGAGTTATCACCTCACACTTGTTAGGATGGCTTTTATCAAAAAGACACAACATAACACATGCTCCTGAGGATGTGGAGAAGGTTGAACTCTTATATACTGTTGGTGGGAATGTAAATTAGTATATCCATTATGAACACAGAATGGAGGTTCCCAGAAAAAGTAAAAATAAATGCCTGTACACATTATGAAATAATCAAATCATGATAAAAAAAAAAAAGACTACATGATCCGGCAATTTCTCACCACTGGATATATAGCCAAAGGAAATGACTATGTTAAAAAGACATCTGCAATAGCCAAGATACGGAATCAACCTAAGTGCCCATCAAGGGATGAATGGATAAAGAAAATGCTATATATGTGGGGAATACAATGGAATACTGTTCAACCATACAAAGGATGAAATCTTATCACTTGTGACAAAATGGGTAAGTCTGGAGGATATTATGTTAAGTGAAATAAGCCAGACACATAAAGACAAATACTGCATAATCTCACTTATATGTGGAATCTGAGATCTCATACAAGTGGAGAATAAAATACTGAAGTGATTACCAGAGAAGAATAGTGGGGAGAGGAACATGGGAGATGTTAGTCAATAGGCACGATGTTATATTACATAGGAAGAATAAGTTTTGGTACTCTATTTCACAATAGCATGACTATTGCTAACAATAATGCATTTTATATTTCAAATAGCCAGCTGAGAGGATGTGACATGTTCTCACTGTGAAGAAATGATAAATGTTTAAAGTGATGGATGTGCTGATTACCATGATTTGATCATTACCTAATGTGGACAGATATCAAAACATCATATTGTACCTCTTAAATATGTACAATTATTATGCATCAATTTAAAAAGTGAGTGTAATCTGAAAAAACATTGGATTTATTTTATGTTGGAATGAAGTATAGTGCATTTTATTATGTAATCTAGCATTTTTTACATATTTATACTGCTCAAGGAACTGAAGTCTGCAATTGAAATACATCATATGATCTCTTCCAATAATCTTTAAGTTTAGTACTATTCACTCAACATTCTGCATTTCAAAGAGCTTAAGTAACTTGAGCAAGGTAACTTTCACACATTGTTATAGCTTGCAAGTGACAAAGCCAGGCTACAAATCCAAGTATATTGGCAATTGTACTTTAAAACGTTATTGTTTAAAATATATAATGAGTGGCCTCATAGACATAATATGTCTTATAAATAAATACTTTATATTTGGCCTATAATTTGATGGAACAGAAGAGGTTTATTAAAGAACTTGACAGAGGTGGGGCAAGGATTATGGGACTTATTCACACAAACACACACCAGAAAAGCCCAGAGGAAACAAAATAAGCATCATACCAGGGAAGAGTGAAAGGTCATGGTTTGTTCAGTGAATCTCTTGTGTGAATAGAATAGTCTTCCGTAAGGGTTAGAATGAAGCTCAAGAAGTAGACAGGGAAATAACTGTGAAAGGGTTTGAACTTCCTAATGCAACTGGCAAATATTAAACCTTCGGAAGCAGAGAGATGATGTGTTGAAATTACACTGCATAGAAATATCTAAAAAGAATGGTGAAGAAGACAGAGAACAGACCTTTCAGAAATCTCTTGAGAGAACATGAAAATAATTAAGCAATATTTTGCTGACTCACATTTTGAGCAGTAGTCTATTATTGAATATATCTTTTCCTTTGGTAAATAGATATCCTGAATTTTCTTAGTATCTTCATGTTATATGATATTTGTTCAATATTATTGGTAAAATAATTTGATTAATATTAATTTTTTCACAGATGAATATAATTATTTTTATTATTTCATGATTATTAGTGGTATCTTCATAAATACACACTATGGTAATTAGATTTTCAAATAATGTAAGTACACCAAATACATGTGTTATATGTGATCTTAAAATTGTTTCTAATGCACATTATATAGACTATTTGATAGGGATGATGATATTTATCAATTTTTTGTATTTTTGTAGATTGGAATATTTTTGCAATATTTTAATATTTATGTGATTGCTTGCCAGAAAGAGTTATCTAATAACTCAGAAGAAAAATGATACTCGGGGTTTTATTCAAGGTACACTAACATTTGTTTTGCCCCTTGTATTTTTTTTAAATTTACTTTTTAAATATTTTATACATGTACAAAACTTATGACAATTAAACCAATTTATAGCAGTTATTTCTTATGTCTTTGCAGAGTTATTTTAACAATAAATCTATTAAGCAAATGAAGCATTATTTGGGCAAAATAAATTTTGTTTTATACCTCAAAATACTAAAAGCCATCTGTGACAAACCGACAGCCACCGTCATACTGAATGGTCAAAACCTGGAACAATTCCCCTTAAAACTAGAAGAAGACAAGGATGCCCACTCTCACCACTCCTATTTAACATAGTACTGGAAGTCGTAGCCAGAGCAGTCAGGCAAAAGAAAGAAAGAAAAGTCATCCCTGGAAAAAGAAGAAGCCAAACTATCTCTCTTCACTGATGGTATGATCTGATACCTCAGAAAACCCAAAAGACTCTGCCATAAGATTCCTGGAATTGATAAACAACTTCCATAAAGTTTCAGGATACAAAATCAATATATAATAATCAGTAGCATTTCTATACACCAAAAACATTCAAGCTGACAGCCAAATCAAGAATGCAATCTAATTTACAATAGCTACACAAAAAATAAAATACCTAAGAATACATGTAACAAAGGAGGTGAAATATCTTTACAAAGTTAACTACAAAAGACTGTTGAAAGAAGTAATACATGGGACAAACATGGAAAGACATTCTATGCTCATGGATTAAAATAATTAATATCATTAAAATGGCCATACTGCCCAAAGCAGTCTACAGATTTAATGCTATTTCTATCAAACTAACAATGTCATTCTTCAAAGAATTAGTAAAAACAGTTCTATAATTCACATGGAGCCAAAAAATATTCCAGATAGCCAAAGCAATCCTAAGAATAAAGAACAAAGCTGGAGGCATCTTGTTCCTCAACTTCAAACTATGCTATAAGGACATAATAACCAAAACAGCATGGCACTGGTGCAAAAACATACACATAGACCAATGGAACAGATTACAGAACATAGAAATAGTCACACACCTATAGCATCTGATTTTTGATGAAGTCAATAAAAATAAGCAATAGGGAAAGGACTCCCAATTCAATAAATGATGCTGGGATAACTGACTAGCCATGTGCAGAAAATTGAAACTGGACTCCTATCTTTCACCGTATACAAAATTAACTCAAGATAGATTAAAGATTTAAATTTAAGACTTAAAATTATAAGAATCCTAGAAGAAATCCTAGGAAACACCATTCTGGATATTGGCCTTGGGAAAGAATTTGTGACTAAATCTTCAAAAGTAATTGCAACAAAAACAAAAATTGACACGTGGGACCTAATTAAACTAAATAGCTTCTGCACAGCAAAAGAAACTATAAGCACAGTAAACAGAAAAACTACAGAATGAGAAAATATATTCATAAACTAGGCGTCTGACAAAGGTCTAATATTTAGAATCTATAAGAAACAATTCAACAGGCACAAAACAAATCACCCCGTTACAAAGTGGGCAAAGACATGAACAACCACTTCTCAGAGAAGACATTAAGTGGCCAATGAACATATGAAAAATTTATCAGCATCACTAATTATCAGAGAAATACTAATCAAAACTACAATAATAGACAATCTGACAACAGAATGACTATATTTTCAGATAACTATCTATTAATACAACTTTGCATGTTTTTCAACATTTTATTTATGTGGGATATATAGTTTTTATCAACTTTCCTCTAATTTTTTTCAACTTTCATTTTAGAAACAGGGAAAATGTACAGATTTATTACATGAGAATACTGCATGGTACTGAAGTTTGGGACACAAATCCTATCACCCAGGAAGTGAGCATAGTACCCTATAGGTAGTTTTTAAACCCATCTCTCCCCATTCCATCCCCTAGTAGCCCACATTATCTATTTTTCTCATGTTTATGCCCATGTGTGCTCAATGTTTAGCTCTGACTTATAAATGAGAACATGTGGTATTTACTTTCCTGTTCCTGAGTTAATTTGCGTAGGGTTATGGCCTCCAGCTCCATCCATGTTGCCACAAAGGACATGATTTCATTCTTTTTTTATATCTGCATAGTATTCTAGAATCTATATATATCACATTTTCTTTATTTAATATACCATTGATGGGCACTTGGGTTGATTCTGTATCTTTGGTATTGTGAACTAATGCAATAGTAAACATAAGAGTCCATGTGTCTTTTTGGTAGAATGATCTATTTTCTTTTGGGTATGTATTAGTCAGGATTCTCTAATGGAGCAGAAATAATATGATATATATATATACACACACGCACACACACACACATACATAAAGAGGAGTTTATTACATAGTATTGACTCACATGATCACAAAGTCTAACAATAGAACATCTGCAAACTAAGAACAAGGAAGCCAGTTTGAGTCCAAAAGCTGAAGAACGTAGTCTGATGTTTGAATGCAGAAACATCCGGTATGGGAGAAAGATGTAGGCTGTGAGGCTAAGCCAGTCTAGCCTTTTCACGGTTTTCTGCCTGCTTTATAACCTGGCTGTGCTGGCAGCTGATTAGATGGTGCCCACTCAGTCTAAGAATGATTCTACCTTTCCCATATTGATTTGAATGCCAGTCTCCTCTGGAAACACCCTCACAGACACACCCAGGATCAATACTTTGCATCCTTCAATCCAATCAAGTTGACAATCAGTATTAACCCTCAGGAGTCCACTCCTTGTCAGCTTGAACTCATACACATCTCCTGAGATCATACGTAATCTTCAAATAAAGACAATAATAAGGTCATAATTGTGCCTAACATAACACAACTATCCTTTGTACAACTGGAAACACACCAATATCTAACCCAAATGCTATTATATAAAGATAACAAAATTTAAATGCTGATATTAAGTCAATAAATTTTATGTCACATGATAAAGGAAAAAGGAAAAAAAATGAGGATATTTTCTTAGTACAAGTGTATACATGCACAAACATGTTTTTAACAAAAGAAAGAGGAAATACTCCTGACAATTGCAGCCCTAGTTCTTGCAACTTGTCACATGGTCATAATTGGTATTGATGATTGCCTTCTTCTATTACCCATTCTGTATTATTCCCTTTGCCTTAGCAAGCACCTAAGCAGATTGTGGTTTTTTTCTGGTGGAGTAACCCAAACCTTCATTCCTGAAGGATCTGGACCATTTGTAGTCCTGCCGGGATTGGGCTGCTGTATTTTCCCATTGACCTTAATAACAGGGCATGGTAATACTAAGAGACACTCCAATGGATGTCCTGTATTCTATGCATATTCTTCCTTACCTCCATTGTGGAGTAGTAGATTGATTTCATCTTGACAGTCCGGGTCAATCACCCTAGCCAACACTGTAACTCCCTCCTTAGCCTGTTGACATAAAGGTAGGAGAAGCCCAAAGGGTCCAGACGGCAATCTTAACTTCCAGTTTAATAGAATCATTGTTGTGTCTCCTGGTGACAGTGTTCCTCCCTCTGGTACTAAGATCTGTAGGCCAGCAGAACATAATGTTGGAAAACAGGAAGCAAAAACTTTGCTAGTGGATCACAGGGGTGATGGTGAGTGGTGTCACTTCTACTTCCACCCCTTGATTCGTGGACCCAGGAATCCTGGCTATGGGAGAAAGAGTACCATATATTGGACGCTGATTCAGAGCATACATGGCCTTCTGGAGAACTTTGCCCCAGCTCTTCAAAGTATTGTAACCTAGTTGGCATTGTAATTGTGACTTCAAAAGGCCATTCCACTGTTCTGTCAATCAAACTGCTTTGGAATGATGGTGAACATGGCAAGACCAGTAAATTCCATGAGCATGAGCCCACTGCTGCACTACTTTAGCCATAAACTGAGTGCCTGGTAAGAGGCAATGCTTTGTGGAATACCATGACAGTGGATAAAGAATTCTGTGAACCCACAGATTGGTAGTCTTGAGAGAAGCATTGCGTGCAAGATAGGCAAACCCATATCCGGAGTAAGTGTCTATTCCAGATCAGAGTCAGTGCCCACTAGTCCTCAAAATGTCTGATCATTTCCGTTTCCCCAGTGCACAGTTACCCTGGTACAAGGCTGGAGTTCTCCAAAGGGAAGGATGGGTGAATGATTAACAGCATAAAGTGTTGGCAGTGTAGTGGGGTCTTTTCTCAAGGGGACTCAGTCTCCTCTTCTTTCTGGGTCTGTAAACTGGCTCAAGTCAAGAAATTGATTGAGGGGCCATGATTCTCTGTTTTTATATTCAAATTAATCTTTGCCTGATTAATTTGGAAATTAATCTGGAAATTTTCTGCTTATGTAAATTTAGTAGGAATGTAGTAGGCTTCCTATCAGTTTTACTTCTAGGAACACTGTAATTAATCAGCCAATGGCCAGAGTTCTACACGAGTCAGACTATTCTGATTGCTGCTTTGCCTCTGCTGTCCATTATGGTAGCTACACCCACCTTGCCTTTGACGTTTGAGTGCTGCCACTTGGCCCCTGCCATCTTGGAATCCAATTATTCCCATTGTATTTAAATTTTGTAGTTGAGTGACCATGGTTCCCATTGTTAGATCTGACATACAGAGAAGAGCAATTTCAGGGCTGTTCATAGATGCAGGTGCTGCCCTCACAAATCTATTTTGCGAAGCATTGGTCAAGGGTATATCTTCTGGACCCTCCCAGCTGAGATGAGTAGGTCTAAAGTGACTAATCCACTGCACCATCCCAATCTCTGTAAGCCTTTGGATCCCTTATCCTACATTAAATCCAGGGAGATCAGGCTTTTCAAGCTCACACACAGTGGGCCATCTTTTAATCCATATTTCAGCTAACTAAGCAAATAAACTATTAGAACCTTTTTTAACTCCCCAAACTGCAACATTAAATGCAGAATCCCTACTTAGTGGGCCAAAGTCAATACATTCAGCCTGATCCAACTCTCTGTTCATTCCATAATTATCCCACACCTTAATATCCATTCCACATCTGTTCTCCAGATTTCTGCTTATATAAATTAGAAAACTCAAGCAGTTCATTTCAAGTGTAGTGCACCTCCTTATAGGTCACACTCTGAACTTCACCTCTAGGGGCCTTCCAGGACTTCAGTCTAGTTATAGATCTAGAAGTAAACAAGGGTGTTGGGGTGGCTCCTGAGAAGAATCAACAATATCTTGCCTGGAAACTGCCTCAGGGGAGGCCATCACTCTTGCCTCAGGCAGTGCAGGGTTTATCTCCTCAGACAAAGGTGGAAAGGCTGATGGCAGCATGGGTCTGGGATGGGATGTTGCCAGGACTGGGGATGGGAAAGGTGTTTCTTCTTAAAAAATGGTTCATCAGAGTTTACAAGCTCAGTGTCCCCAGCATCATCAGAGTCCTCCAACACATCCCATTCTAAGTTGCAGGACCCCATTCTTTTCCAATCAATGCCCTCATTTTAACAGTAGGCACCTGGTGAGGCTGTGCATGCACCTTTCATTGCAGGCCAGCCACTAGCATGATAAGAGCTTATGTCTGTTTTTCCACAATTTCAGCTTTCTCTACAGGAGATAAGACTCACACACAGGGCAATCTTAGCAGATTTGAGCCTCTATGTCTGCTAGTGAAGCCAAGAGTTAGAATCCCTGAGTTCATTATTTTCTTTCATCACTTTGTCCAGCAAACTTAGGAGCAACTGACCACTTCATTATGTTCCTTGGCTTTCCACATATCATAAAAGGTAGTATGTATAAAGTCACTAAACTCCTTGCCTCTCACAAGTGGTGAATCAGGAGTGTCATATGTATTTATTTTGCATAACTCTCCAAACAGTTCATGTCAAGGACTATCAGTATTCTCCCTAGTATGAGAAGTAGAGTCCTTAACATGTTTGGGTCCATTCATATTCAGCAGTCAACTCCAGAAACCCCCAAACCAATGGAAGAATTCAGTCCTTAATATTCTGTTCCTCTAGAACCACTCCTGGTACCAAAATCTGTATTAGTCAGAGTTCCCTACAGGGAAAGAACAAATAAAATTAAGATATATAACATATATATACAACACACACACATATATATGTATAGGGGAGTTTATTAAGTAGTATTAACACACATTATCACAAGGTCTAACAATAGGCCATCTGCAAGCTGAGGAGCAAAGAAGCCAGTCCAAGTCCCAAAGCTTAAGAATCTGTAGTCCAATGTTCGAGGGCAGGAAACATGCAGCACAGGAGAAAGATACAGGCTGGGAGGCTAAGTCAGTCTACCTTTTCCATGTTTTTCTGTCTGCTTTATATCTGGCTGTGCTAGCAGCTGATTGGATGGTGCCCATCCAGACTAAGAATGGGTCTGCCTTTCCCAGCCCACTGATTCAAACGTTAATTTCATTTGGCAACACCCTAACAGACACACCCAGGATCAACATTTTGCATCCTTCAATCCAATCAAGTTGATACTCAGTGTTAACCATCACAGGGTATATACCGAGTTACACTCATTTATGGGATTACTGGGTCAAATGGTAGCTCTGTTTTAAGTTCTTTGAAAACTCTCCAAAATATTTTCCACAGTGGCTGAACTAATTTACATTCCCACCAATAGTGGATAAGCTGTATAAGCTTTTCTTTGTATGTTCCTCTATCCCTTGATCTTTTTACAAGTTACTCCAAACAAGAGGCTTGAGCTGTTAACAATGTCTCAGTGTCTTCTCAGGAAAAAAAATAACTAACATATTATTCTTTTGCTAAATCAAAATATTTGGATCAGGTAGCATTGCCTTTTAATATGATAGCATGTGGTGAATAGTGTCATAATGAGATAAGGTATTTAAAGTAGTTACTATTTTTTTTGCAGGAAATGGGAATGTAATATTGGGTGTGATGCTTAATTTTAGGTGTCAGCTTTATTGGATTAAGGGATGCCTAGATGTCTAGCAAAGCATTGTTCCTGGGTGTTCCTGTGAGGGTCTTTCCTGAGGAGATTGACATGCGAGTCAATGGACGTTGAGAGAAACCCTACCCACAATGTGCATGGCCACTATCCAATGGGCTGGGGGCTCAGCTGAGACAAAACAGGTAGAAGAATGAGGATTTACTCTCTTTCTCTCTGCTCTTCAGACTCTAGGTTATTTGGTTTTTGGACACTGGAAATTGCACAGTTACAATTGGAGTCACTATTTAGTTAAGCTTATGATAATCTGCTGTCATTCTCCAATATCCATCTGCCTTCTGCACAGGTTAAATAAGAGAGTTAAAGGGTATGTGGGGAACTACCAGTCCTGCATCTTTCATGTCATTGATGGTGGTACTAATCTCTGAAATCTCTCCCTAGATGCAATATTGTTTGTGATTTACCATTTTCCTGTGTAGAGGAGGCTCTAATAGCTTCCATTTGGCCTTTCTCATCACAATAGTGTCCACTCCACAGGTTAGGGGTATCTGTGATGGAATTCTGCCAGCTGCAAAGTATGTCTATTCCCATTATGCATCTGGAACTGGGGAAATGATCACAGGATACAATCAGGACACCATTGGACCTACTGTAAGTCAAATCTGAGCTAAACTCCATGAATCACCTGACCTCTGTGAGCTTCTTTTCAAGCTGTGTTGGGGGAACATCCCCCCAATATTTCAACATAGGTTCTTTCTATTTTCCATAAGTGTCAGCCAGCTGAGAAATAAAGAGAGACAGTATAAAGAGAGAAATTTTACAGCTGGGCCGCCAGGGGTGACATCACATATTGGTAAGACTGTGATGCCTGCCTGAGTCTCAGACCAGCAAGTTTTTATTAAGGATTTCAAAAGCGGAGGAGGTTTAAGAACAGGGAGTAGGTACAAAGATCACATGCTTCAAAGGGCAAAAAGCAGAACTACTAATAATGGTCTAACAAAGATCACATGCTTCTGAGGGAACAGGAAAAAGGACAAAAGCAGAACTACTGATAAGGGTCCAACAAAGATCACAAGGCAAAGGGCAAAAGCAGAACTACGGATAAGGGTCTTTGTTCAGCAGTGCACTTATTGTCTTGATAAACATCTTAAACAACAGAAAACAGGTTTCGAGAACAGAGAACTGGTCTGACCACAAATTTATCAGGGTGGAGTTTTTCCCCACCCTAGTAAGCCTGGGGGTACTGCAGGAGACCAGGGTGTATCTTAGTCCTTATCTCAACTGCATAGGACAGACACTCCCAGAGTGGCCGTTTATAGACCTCCCCCAGGAAATGCATTCCTTTCCTAGGGTATTCATATTAATATTCCTTGCTAGGAAAAAGCATTTAGTGATATCTCTCCTGCTTGCATGTCAGTTTATAGGATCTCTGCAAGAAGAAAAATATGGCTCTTTTTGCCCGACCCTGCAGGCAGTCAGATTTTATGGTTGTCTTCCCTTGTTCCTTAAAAATTGCTGTTATTCTGTTCTTTTTCAAGGTGCACTGATTTCATATTGTTCAAACACACATGTTTTACAATCAATTTCTACAATTAACACAATTATCACAGTGGTCCTGAGGTGATGTACATCCTCAGCTTAGGAAGATAACAGGATTAAGAGATTAAAGTAAGACAGGCATAAGAAAACATAAAATTATTGTTCGGGAACTGATAAATGTCCATGAAATCTTCACAATTTATATTCCTCTGCCATGGCTTCAGCTGGTCCCTCCATTTGGGGTTCCTGACTTCCCGCAACAAAACTGGACAGCCACAATGACAGTTTAGGTCTCCTTGAATCAATGGCAGTTCACAGTCAATGTCCACTAGTCTCTGAAAAGTCTGATTATTTCCCCTTCTCCAATACACAATTACCTTTGGGGAAGGATGGGAGAAAGATTAACAGTATAAATTATCTGTAGTGTATCAGGGTCTTTCCTCAAGGAGCCCTGACCTACATTTCATTCAAGGGGTTCTGGGTCTGTAAATTGACTTAAGTCTGGGCATTGATTGGGGTGGCTATGATTCTGTTTTTATGGATCAAGTTAGACTTCTATTAACAGAACATGGAAGTTTTTTGCTTATATGGATCAAGAAAGAATGTAGTAGGCTTTCCCGCTATTTCACTTCTAGGAACACGGTGATTAGCCAACACCACATGTCAAAACAAATTAGACTATCGTGACTCTCACTTTATCTCTGCTGTCCATTATAGTAGCTACTCTCAACTTGCTTTAGTGGTTGAATGCCACCACTTGGCCCCTGTAGCTCCAGGATTCAATTATTCCCCTTGCAAGTCTTCCAATTGAGAATCTGTGTTATATAAGGTCTGGCATATGAAGAAGAGCAATCACAGAGCTCTTCCAGGATGCTGATGCTCCTCTCATAAATCTATTTCACAAAGTACAGTTGAAAGGTATAACTTCTGCACTCTCCCAGTTTGGGTGAGCAGGTTTCATGTGACAAATTCATTCTAGCATTCTAATCTCTATAAACTTTTGAATTATTTCTTCTACGTTAAACCAAGGAAGATCAGGAATCTCTAGCTAACTCACGGTGGGCTGTCTCAGCCAACCAAACAAAAAAACTATTAGTGCCTTTTTTTAACTCCTCAAGCTGTAACATTAAATTCAGGATCCCTTCTTAGTGGGTGCATATCGATAAATTTGGCATGATCCAACATTACGTTAGTAGTTACCACCATTATCTCAGTCTGTTGTTGTTGTTGTTGTTGTTGTTGTTGTTTTGAGATGGAGTCTCTCTCTGTCACCCAGGCTGGAATGCAGTGGCACAATCTCAGCTCACTGAAACCTCCACCTCCCCAGTTCAAGCAATTCTCCTGCCACAGCCTCTGGAGTAGCTAAGATTACAGGCACCCACCACCACACCTGGATAATTTTTGCATTTTTAGTAGAGTTTGGATTTCACCATATTGGCCAGGCTGGACTCGAACTCCTGTCCTCGAGTGATCCACCTGCCTCAGCCTCCCAAAGTGTTGAGATTACAGGCATGAGCCACTGTGTCTGGCCTGTCTCACACTCTTAATATCCATTCCCACATATGTCACCCCAGATTTCTGCTCATATTAATTAGAAAACTCAAGTAGTTGTTTTGGAGTGCAATGTACCTCCACAGGGGTCACACTTTTTACTTCACCTTTAGGAGACTTGCAGTAAATAACTTATTAAAATAAAGATTTTATTATTTACTTCTTTTGTTTACACTGTAGTATTCCAAGACATTAACTTGCAATAATTTGGGGAAACTTTATTAGAACTTATTACATTGGTTTCAAGCAGTGCTTCTCAAACAGAGACCACTATTTTGCCCCTCAGAGGACATCTGGCAATATATGGAAACATTTTTGGTGGTCACAGCTTCAGAAATGGGGAGACAAAAGGGGCACTACTGACATCTAGTGAGTGGAGGACAGAGGTCCTACTAAGTGTCTTGCAATGCACAGGGCAGCCCTCCTCAGTAAGAATTATCCAGACCAAACACCAATAATACTGTTTAAAGAATCCCAATTTAAAGAAATATATAATTTTCCATCTATCTTCTATTAATAATTTAAATGTATTTTAGGAAAAATATTTAATATGATATACTAATTATAGTTACTCAATTTAATAAAATAATGTATTGAAAACACAGACATAAAAATATATCATTATTCAAAAAGTGAACAATGAGAAAAGTGGAAAAATAGAAAAAATTGTGATAGATATGAAAATTGAAACCAAGAAATGAAATGACTTCTGGAATTGTCCAAATTTTGTGTTTAGACTGTGATATTAATAAGGCTCACATTTCCAAGATATTAAAGATATTAGTTTTATTTAAAACACCTAGGCAATATTGCTTTTGTCATTGATCTCACTATAACATTGCCCAATTAATCATAAAAAGATTTCTGCTTATACTTTGTAAGAAACTAAAATTTAAGAATTTTATTCTATTGTAAATTTTCTGATTATTGTAATTAATCATAACTGACGATTGGGATGGGTAGGAGAGTAAGGAATAACAAATTTAGTTCTACTTAATACAAGATGCCATATCACGATAAAATCTCAAAAAAAATTTTAAAAAGTCAAGGAAGTAAACAATTTTGTAGATTCTTATTGAGTATTCATCATCAATACAATTAAAATGATATGTCGGACGAGGAACAGCTCCAGTCTACAGCTCCCAGCGTGAGCGACACAGAAGACAGGTGATTTCTGCATTTCCAACTGAGGTACCAGGTTCAACTCACTGGGGAGTGTCAGAAAGTCGGTGTAGGACAGTGGTTGCAGTGCACCGAGCATGAGCTGAAGCAGGGCGAGGCATCGCCTCACCCGGAAAGTGCAAGGCATCAGGGAATTCCCTTTCCTAGTCAAAGAAAGGGGTGACAGACGGCACCTGGAAAATCAGGTCACTCCCACCCTAATACTGCACTTTTCCAATGGTCTTAGCAAATGGCACACCAGGAGATTATATGCCGTGCATGACTTGGAGGGTCCTACGCCCATGGAGCCTCGCTCATTGCTAGCACAGCAGTCTGAGATCAAACTGCAAGGCAGCAGCCAGGCTGGTGGAGGGGCGCCCGCCATTGCCAAGGCTTGAGTAGGTAAACAAAGCGGCCGGGAAGCTCGAACTGGGTGGAGCCCACGGCAGCTCAAGGAGGCCTGCCTGCCTCTGTAGACTCCACCTCTGGGGGCAGGACATAGCCAGACAAAAGGCAGCAGAATCCTCTGCAGACTTAAATGTCCCTGTCTGACAGCTTTGAAGAGAGTAATGGTTCTCCCAGCAAGCAGCTGGAGATCTGAGAATGGGCAGACTGCCTCCTCAAGTGGGTCCCTGACCCCCGAGTAGCCTAACTGGGAGGCACCCCTCAGTAGGGGCAGACTGACACCTCACACGGCCGGGTACTCCTCCGAGATAAAACTTCCAGAGGAACGCTCAGGCAGCAACATTTGCTGTTCACCAATATCCGCTGTTCTGCAGCCTCCGCTGCTGATACCCAGGCAAACAGGGTCTGGAGTGGACCTCCAGCAAAGTCCAACAGACCTGCAGCTGAGGGTCCTGACTGTGAGAAGGAAAACTAACAAACAGAAAGGACATCCACACCAAAACCCCATCTGTACGTCACCATCATCAAAGACCAAAGGTAGATAAAACCACAAAGATGGGGAAAAAACAGAGCAGAAAAACTGGAAACTCTGAAAATCCAAGTGCCTCTCCTCCTCCAAAGGAACGCAGCTCCTCACCACCAATGGAACAAAGCTGGATGGAGAATGACTTTGATGAGTTGAGAGAAGAAGGCTTCAAACGATTAAACTACTCTGAGTCAAAGGATGAAGTCCTAACCCATGGCAAAGAAGTCAAAAACTTTGAAAAAAAATTAGATGAATGGATAACTAGAATAACCAATGCAGAGAAGTCCTTAAAGGACGTGATGGAGCTGAAAACCAAGACACGAGAACTACATGACGAATGCACAAGCCTCAGTAGCCGATTCGATCAAGTGGAAGAAAGGGTATCAGTGATGGAAGATCAAATGAATGAAAAGAAGTGAGAAGAGAAGATTGGAGAGAAAAGAATAAAAAGAAACAAACAAAGCCTCCAAGAAACATGGGACTACGTGAAAAGACCAAATCTACATCTGATTGGTGTACCAGAAAGTGATGGGGAGAATGGAACCAAGTTGGAAAACCCTCTGCAGGATATTATCCAGGAGAACTTCCCCAATCTAGCAAGGCAGGCCAACATTCAAATTCAGGAAATACAGAGAACGCCACAAAGATACTCCTTGAGAAGAGCAACTCCAAGACACATAATTGTCAGATTCACCAAAATTGAAATGAAGGAAAAAATGTTAAGGGCACCCAGAGAGAAAGGTCGGGTTACCCACAAAGGGAAGCCCATCAGTCTAACAATGAATCTCTCGGCAGAAACTCTACAAGCCAGAAGAGAGTGGGGGCCAATATTCAACATACTTAAAGAATTTTCAACCCAGAATTTCATATCAAGCCAAACTAAGCTTCGTAAGTGAAGGAGAAATAAAATACTTTACAGACAAGCAAATCCTGAGAGATTTTGTCACCACCAGGCCTGCTCTACAAGAGCTCCTGAAGGAAGCACTAAACATGGAAAGGAACAACTGGTACCAGCCACTACAAAAACATGCCAAATTGTAAAGACCATCGAGTCTAGGAAGAAACTGCATCAACTAACGAGCAAAATAACCAGCTAACACCATAATGACAGTATCAAATTTACACATAACAATATTAACCTTAAATGTAAATGGGCCAAATGTTCCAATTAAAAGACACAGACTGACAAATTGGATAAAGAGTCCAGACCCGTCAGTGTGGTGTATTCAGGAAACACATCTCACACGCAGAGACACACATAGGTTCAAAATAAAGGGATGGAGGAAGATCTACCAAGCAAATGGAAAACAAAAAAAGGCAGGGGTTGCAATCCTAGTCTCTGATAAAACAGACTTTAAACCAACACAAATCAAAAGAGACTAAGAAGGCCATTACATAATGGTAAAGGGATCAATTCAACAAGAAGAGCTAACTATCCTAAATATATATGCACCTAATACAGGAGCACCCAGATTCATAAAGCAAGTCCTTAGAGACCTACAAAGAGACTTAGACTCCCACACAATAATAATGGGAGACTTTAACACCCCGCTGTCAACATTAGACAGATCAACGAGACAGAAAGTTAACAAAGATATCCAGGAATCGAACTCAGCTCTGCACCAAGTGGACCTAATAGACATCTACAGAACTCTCCAACCCAAATCAACAGAATATACATTCTTTTCAGCACCACACCACACCTATTCCAAAACTGACCACATAGTTGGAAGTAAAGCACTCCTCAGCAAATGTAAAGGAACAGAAATGATAACAAACTGTCTCTGAGACCACAGTGTAATCAAACTAGAACTCAGGATTAAGAAACTCACTCAAAAGCACTCAACTACATGGAAACTGAACAACCTGCTCCTGAATGACTACTGGGTACATAACGAAATGAAGGCAGAAATAAAGATTTTCTTTGAAACCAATGAGAACAAAGACACAACATACCAGAATCTCTGGGACACATTCAAAGCAGTGTGTAGAGGGAAATTTATAGCACTAAATGCCCACAAGAGAAAGCAGGAAAGATCTAAAATTGACACCCTAACATCACAATTAAAAGAACTAGAAAAGCAAGAGCAAACACATTCAAAAGCTAGCAGAAGGCAAGAAATAACTAAGAAGATCAGAGCAGAACTGAAGGAAATAGAGACACAAAAAACCCTTCAAAAAATCAATGAATCCAGGAGCTGGTTTTTGGAAAAGATCAACAAAATTGATAGACCGCTAGCAAGACTAATAAAGAAGAAAAGAGAAGAATCAAATAGATGCAATAAAAAATGATAAAGGAGATATCATCACCAATCCCACAGAAATACAAACTACCATCAGAGAATACTATAAACACCTCTATGCAAATAAACTAGCAAATCTAGAAGAAATGGATAAATTCCTGGACACATACACCCTTCCAAGGCTAAACCAGAAAGAAGCTGAATGTCTGAATAGACCAATAACAGGCTCTGAAGTTGAGGCAATAATTAATAGCTTACCAACCAAAAAAGTCCAGGACTAGATGGATTCACAGCTGAATTCTACCAGAGGTACCAGGAGGAGCCAGTACCATTCCTTCTGAAACTATTCCAATCAATAGAAAAAGAGGGAATCCTCCCTAACTCATTTTGTGAGGCCAGCATCATCCTGATACCAAAGCCAGGCAGAGACACAACCGAAAAAGAGAATTTTAGACCAATATCCTTGATGAACATTGATGCAAAAATCCTCAATAAAATACTGGCAAACTGAATGCAGCAGCACATCAAAAAGCTTATCCACCATGATCAAGTGGGATTCATCTCTGGGATGCAAGGCTGGTTCAACATACACAAATCAGTAAATGTAATCCAGCATATAAACAGAAGCAACAACAAAAACCATACGATTATCTCAATAGATGCAGAAAAGGCCTTTGACAAAATTTAGCAACCCTTCATGCTAAAAACTCCCAATAAATTAGGTATTGATGAGACGTATCTCAAAATAATAAGAGCTATCTATGACAGACCCACAGCCAATATCATACTGAATGGGCAAAAACTGGAAGCATTCCCTTTGAAAACTGGCACAAGACAGGGATGCCCTCTCTCACCACTCCTATTCAACATAGTGTTGGAAGTTCTGGCCAGGGCAATTAGGCAGGAGAAGGAAATAAAGGGTATTCAATTAGGAAAAGAGGAAGTCAAATTGTCCCTGTTTGCAGATGAGATGATTGTATATCTAGAAAACCCCATTGTCTCAGCCCAAAAGCTCCTTAAGCTGATAGGCAACTTCAGCAAAGTTTCAGGATACAAAATCAATGTGCAAAAATCACAAGCATTCTTATACACCAATAAAAGACAAACAGAGAGCCAAATCATGAGTGAAGTCCCATTCACAATTGCTTCAAAGAGAATAAAATACCTAGGAATCCAACTTACAAGGGATGCAAATGACCTCTTCAAGGAGAACTACAAACCACTGCTCAATGAAATAAAAGAGGATACAAACAAATGGAACAACATTCCATGCTCATGGGTAGGAAGAATCAATATCGTGAAAATGGCAGTACTGCCCAAGGTAATTTGTAGATTCAATGCCATCCCCATCAAGCTACCAATGACTTTCTTCACAGAATTGGAAAAAACTCCTTTAAAGTTCATATGGAACCAAAAAAGAGCCTGCATTGCCACGTCAATCCTAAGCCAAAAGAACAAAGCTGGAGACATCACGCTACCTGACTTCAAACAATATTACAAGGCTACAGTAACCAAAACAGCATGGTACTGGTACCGAAACAGAGATATAGACCAATGGAACAGAACAGAGCCCTCAGAAATAATGCTGCATACCCACAACAGTCTGATCTTTGACAAACTTGACAAAAACAAGAAATGGAGAAAGGATTCCTTATTTAATAAATGGTGCTGGGAAAACTGGCTAGCCATGTATAGAAAGCTGAAGCTGGATCCCTTCCTTACACCTTATACAAAAATCAATTCAAGATGGATTAAAGACTTAAATGTTAGGCCTAAAACCATAAAAACCCTAGAAGAAAACCTAGGCAATACCGTTCAGGACATAGGCATGGGCAAGGACTTCATGTCTAAAACACCAAAAGCAATGGCAACAAAAGCCAAAATTGACAAATGGGATCTAATTAAACTAAAGAGCTTCTGCACAGCAAAAGAAACTACTATCAGAGTGAACAGGCAACCTACAGAATGGGAGAAAATTTTTGCAATCTACTCATCTGACAAAGGGCTAATATCCAGAATCAACAATGAACTCAAACAAATTTACAAGAAAAAAACAACCCCATCAAAAAGTGGGCAAAGGATATGAACAGACACTTCTCAAAAGAAGACATTTATGCAGCCAACAGACACATGAAAAAATGCTTATCATCACTGGCCATCAGAGAAATGCAAATCAAAACCACAATGAGATACCATCTCACACCAGTTAGAATGGCGATCATTAAAAAGTCAGGAAACAACAGGTGCTGGAGAGGATGTGGAGAAATAGGAACATTTTTACATTGTTGGTGGGACTGTAAACTAGTTCAACCATTGTGCAAGTTAGTGTGGCGATTCCTCAGGGATCTAGAACTAGAAATACCATTTGACCCAGCAATCTTGTTACTGGGTATATACCCAAAGGATTATAAATCATGCTGCTATAAAGACACATGCACACATATGTTTATTGTGGCACTATTCACAATAGCAAATACTTGGAACCAACCCAAATGTCCAACAATGATAGACTGGATTAAGAAAATGTGGCACATATGCACCATGGAATACTATGCAGCCATAAAAAATGATGAGTTCATGTCCTTTGTAGGGACATGGATGAAGCTGGAAACCATCATTCTCAGCATACTATGGCTAGGACAAAAAACCAAACACCGCATGTTCTCACTCATAGGTGGGAATTGAACAATGAGAACACATGGACACAGGAAGGGGAACATCACACTCTGGGGACTGTTGTGGGGTGGGGGGAGGGGGGAGGGATAGCATTAGGAGATATACCTAATGTTAAATGACGAGTTAACGGGTGCAGCACACCAACATGGCACATGTATACATATGTAACTAACCTACACGTTGTGCACATGTACCCTAAAAGTTAAAGTATAATAAAAAAAGATACGTTAAAATTTAATTATATTAAATCCTAATATGTTTTAGTAATAATACTTGGATGAATTAAGAATCTTTCTTCCTAAAATACAATTTATAACAGATTATATTGAGGATAATTTAATTTAATATGGTGAAATATTTTGGAGACAAAACACTGGAAACATTAAAATGTGCTAAATACATTTAAGAATTATATCTGTATTACATGATTTATTTTGATTTAAAATTTTTACTTGCTTTACATGCTTGTTTTTTCATTTTAATGTTTATGTGTATCATATACCTGAAATTAACCTTAAGAAAATAATGGTATAAATCAATTGATTTTATCATCAGTATAAGTTTTTTAGAAATAATTTTCTAATTTTTTCATGTTCTGTTGTTCTCCTGGGAAGCAAAAGGTGAAAATTAATATTCTCACATTGTCAGAGAATTATATAATGTTTAAGCTGCAATGATTTCTAGAAATAATTTGGCCCTATCCCTAACTCTTGAGATTAAAAATAGTCAGACACAAAAATCACTTCAATTATTTATCAATATCATTAGCATTATTCACTAAATCATCAGATAAATTTAATAATTAAATTCCAAAGTCAAATGAAGAACAGTAAATATGAGAGTTTGTGAATTCCTTGATTATCCTAATATCTTAACTTTAAAGATTAGAACCAAACCTTCACCAAGAAGTTAATTAAAATGATTTCTAATTTCATCAGAGTTCTGCCTAACTGTATTTTTACCTACCAATCATGAGCTGGAAGGTGACGGAAGTTGAGCAATTTTATTATGTCAGGTTTACTTTCTAGGCAGTCTTCTTGATAGGTTTTCTCTGGTCATTGCTAATCAGATAATCCATTATTTAAATGAGAATCTGAATAGTTTGTATGTAATATATTTCAAGTTTTTTCCCATGCTGAAATCCATTAACTCATTTCATTAGAAGTAAGAGGCATTGATTTTGTAACAACAATTTACATTAAAAGCAATGTAGCTTTTAATCAGGGATTTTTTACTAATCAAGGATACTAAGTTACTGTGATGGCTGGCTAATTATTCAAATACTGTAAAGGAGCAGAAAATGGGATAATTAATAATTATGACTTTAAATAACATTTTTTCTAGATTCATACTGAATATAAAAGACTGCATTTTAATAAAACAGTGACAACTCTATTTTGAAATATTTAATGTGCAATAGTATAATTTTAAAAATTTATAAAATTCATTTATAAGTACATGTAATTGTACCTCTTACTATAGATTATTATTATTATATTTCAAAAGAAAGTCTAATGTCACAAGCCTAAATTTTCATATATGCTTTCTGTATTTTCCCAGAAATATGTTAAACTGAACACCCTTCTTATCTAACTAGGCTTCAGAGTTAGATTATATATCATAGTATTCAAGAGTAGTCATAAAACAAATATGTCTAGTTAATGATGACAACTTTACAGAGTTAGGCATAATACTTCAACTTGATTGGAAAATTTTACTGGCTTGATTTTTTTATACCTTGGTTTTAACAGCACATTCTTGAAGTATTTGTAGCTACAGCTTCTAGGAATGCTACTCTTGAGTCCAATAGTGTATATTTAATAACTTGGAAATGCATGTCTTCTTCCATAAATAAAAAAAAAATTTCTGACTAAAAAACTATATAAAGTATATATACACCATGGAATACTATGTAGCCATGAAAATACATGACATCAAGTCCTTTTGAGCAATGCAGAGGAAGCTGGAGGCTTTTATTCTAAGTGAACTAACTCAGAAGCAGAAAATCAAATATTGCATGTTTTCATTTATCAGTGGGATCTAAACAAATGAACATAAAGATGGAAATAATAGTAGACCCTAGGGATTTCAAAACAGGGGAGGGAGAAAGGAAAAGAGGGGAGTAAGGTTTGAAAGATTAGCTATTGTACACAGTGTTCAACATTTGGGTGGCAGGTATACTAGAAACCCAATCCTTATCATTTTGCAATATACCCATGCAGCAAACACACACATGTACTCTCTGAATCTGAATTTTAATAAAAAAAACACATAAGAAAAATAATTGTGATGAAAATATCTTTGATTTCTATATCCCCCTTTTGAAAATATCTGGCTGGTTTTTGTTATGCACTGTGTACACTGTTCCACCAGGACAACTTTATGCTACCATCCAAGCATGGAGCTTCTTTGTCACTGCAAGGTGGGATGGCACAGTCAACACACAAGCAACTTGATATTTGCCCAATAGCCACTGGTAAGTGTCCACATTCTTGCCTACCATTTTCCAAAAATTTAAATATTTAGTTTATTCAAAAACAACAACTATGTTCTTTGTTTTATAAAAAGCAAATCAGAAATATTCCATTTTTAACAGTCCCTCTCAATGGCTATTTGGTTGATATATTATATTATCAAACGGTTCTTCTTATGAAGAATATTTTGTCTACTAAAAAAACTTTCAAGAATACTGACTGATACCGCTTGTCTTTTATTTATTAGTTATTTAATACTTAAATGATTAAGCGTAACTTTAGGTCAAATAAATATTCAATATTGGATAATAACAGATAATGTTGTATGCCATTCAAATCAGTGTAAAATATTTTATATTCTTATACAATATGTTTTCCTTCTGCAACAGTCATAATTTTGTATTTCTTTGCATGAATATTCTGTCAGTAATCTCTGCTCCTCAGTACTGTAAGTTTATAGTTGTGGAAACTTCATTTACTATTTGATCATTGATCACTTCTCTGTCACCTAACATAGTGACTGGCACATGGTAAGGCCATATCAAAAAATATATGAGTTGTGGATATCTGAATGGCCCAAATCTCTCAATTCTAATAGAAATTTCAAGAGGGCAAATTTGTTGGTGTTTCTATAAGAACTTGCAGGGCTATATAAGTCACTTATTCATTAAAAATGACTTTTTATTTTGTTTAGGATACCAAAGTTGCATTTAGTTAAGTGAACAGGATCATCTTTTCATCATGCCACCTTTACTGTAAATAGACTAGATCAAGGTTGTGCATTGTACTGCTATGTTTACACTTAAACTTGTTAAGAAGGTAGATCAAACCTCTCATGGTAAGAACATGAGAGGAAAAAAAAGAAAAGAAAAGAAAAAAAATGATCGGGTTTAAGAGTCATTCGCTTATCTAATTTCATTGGTTCTGCTACAAATGAAAAATAAAAATGAATGGAAAGATTCAGTATAAGGAGATGAAACAGTGCTGAAATTAAGAATCAAATAAGCTGAAACTAAATGATAAGCTATCAAAACTACTAAGATTTAATAAATGTAGCTATACTGAAAACATATAGAAAAAGACTAAAATGCCTTTGCAACAATAAGGAAATATAAAAAATTAATATACTGTTCATGATAGCAATAAAAATTTTAATCTAAAAATCAATTATTTCTAACAAATATATCCATTGCATCTTAAATGAAAAAAATAAATAACAAAATGCTTATCTAAATAAACATTCTAAGGTCTTGAAATAGGATGACAAAATTCTATTAAGGCACTTCCCCACAAATTAATTTATGAGTAATTTCAATCCATAAATATTTGACTTCAACTTTTTAAAAAATTTCATTTATTTCTTTTAAATTGACAGCTAAAATTGTATGTAGTTATTGTGTACAGCATATTTTGAAGTATAAATGCATTTTGCAAATGAGCTAATTTGCACATATATTACCTCACATAGTTATCATTTTTGTGGCAAGAACACTTAACATCAATTCTCTTAGCATTTTTCAAGAAAACAATGTATTATCACTAACTATAATCACCATATACTGTACAAGATATTTGTTGAACTTTTGAGGAACTTGAATAGGTTATGATAAAATTTATATGGAGAAGAGATGTCATCTCTTCTTGAGCCAAGTAAACTTTAAGAAAAGTTATACAGAGGGTCTTCCCTACTATGTATTAAGATATACGACAAAGCCACATTCATAAACAATGTGGTATTGGATTAAAAATAGAGGAAGAGACCATTGGAAGAGGGTAGTGAGGGTAGGACCAGATTGCATATACTATGCTAATTAGAAGCGGCAGGGGTTTTATTTCGCTTCAAAGCTGAATTTGATCAAAGGCTGTTACTGCATCTGTTATGACCTTATTTTTATTTCATTCGCTTAAATGAAAAATGATATTCATAGATTTTTTTCTAATGTTGCAATATGATTGTAATTTTGAGACATAGTCATGCTGATTATGGTATATTTTTATATTTTGTGAATATTTTGTTGAGAAATTTACATTTCTGTTTGCAAGTGGGATTCATCTTTTCTTGCTCTATCTTTGTCTGAATTTATTTTCTAGATTATACTAGCTTCATAGATTCAATTGGCTAAATTTTTCCCCAATTCTTTCTCTGGAAGAGTTTCTGTAAGATTTGAATCATTGATTACTATTTGAAAGAATTCCAGTTTCAATGTCATTTTAGTGAGAAGATTGTTGCTAGTAAATAAATATTGTTAGAATGTATCAGGATTTTGTTATGCTATATTCAGTAGCGGTAAATTTGATATTTTGTTTTAAGTATTTTTATATCTCTATTTTATGTCACAAACAACGATTTTCACTCTGGTAAGTGTGTTTCTTTTTTGTCTAAAGTTATCCATTAATTTTCAGTGATTATTGTTTTCAAATGCATTCTTTAGATTTACCAGATAAATTTTAAGATGATTGCATTGTCTTCTTGCTTTATTTCGATATATTTTACATAACAATTTATTTACATTATCCCCAAATGTACAGAGTATATGGAACATCTTTTTTACATATAATTGTTTTTCCTCATTTGCACTCCTCCCTGTAGCATAGGGAAAAGAATAAAACATACAACAAATACATTTGAACCATCAAATTAGACAAACATACTATTATTCTGAAGTGTGAATATAAGCAACGCCTCTTATCCTCTGCAATCTTATCTTTCTTACTAAAAAATAAACAAAATAAATCTCTTTTCAGGCTTCTGTCTCTAGAGAGATGATCAGAACATACAAGTTTTACTCTTGGTTTCTTATTTTTCTGCCTTCTTTCCCAATAATATACAGAAACTAGCTGTAGATTCTCATTATTTCTACATAATTTTCCTATAGGAAATATCCTAAAACTAAAATGACAAATGGCATCAAAAAGGTAGCATAAATCAATGGACATTGAAAATGTATTAGCCTTTTAACACCTTGTGAGCAGAGTCATATTCTCTAATTTCGTTGACATAAAGCATTTGTAGTCTAAGTACTTTCTCTTAAGGGAGATAAAAATAAGTTTTCTTTTTAACTTGCTCGTTTTCTTTTTTATTGTCTAATTTTTTATTTAAGCCTATTTTTAGTTGATGGAAACCCATTTAGGATATCTGTTTCACTCCAAAATATTGGCATCATTTTTATTTTATTATTTTCCATGTTTACAAAACTATTTTTATCCTTTTTTCAAATCATTTCAGTGAGCACTGGTGGTGTTATTTTCCCATTGTTAAAATACTTTCTACTCTCTTATCCTAGTGAGAAGGACTGGTGGGCAGAAGCAGTTAGTACATCTGTGTTTCTCTTCATTCTTTGTACGCTCCGTAATACCTCTGCATTATTTTCCTTTTCATCCAGGGCATGGCTAAAGTCATAGAATGCTCCTTTAGATTTTGGATTAGTCTCCATGAGAGAGTAAACTGACAGAAGAGACTCCATTGTGTAACCTAGAATTTGTATTATTTTCTTCCCCATTTCCTTATATGTAAGCTTTTATTCCATTTATTCTACTACAACAATCTTTACTCCCTTTTTTTCTCCTTTTGGGGAAGGAAAAGTCCTAATTCTAAAAATTTACGTGAGAATTAAATTATATTCATCTGCCCAAAAGCTGTACTCTACTAGGGTACCTAGTTTATATCCTAAAACCTTGACCCCTTAACTTTCTTACTAAAATGGGTTGGTGATAGAGAATTATGTATGAATTCCAGAGTTAAATTTGATTTGAAATAAACAATTTGGATTTTACATAATACTTCTCATTTTTTAGTTTGAAGTTATCTTTCATTAATTTCAGAAATGCTACCATACCTTTCGCTTTATCAAATGATTATTTTTAGTAAAGGTTTGGAAAAATAAGTTGTACAAGATTGTGTGTGTTTAGTGAAACGTAAGATTGGACATTCCAAGTTGTTTGGCAGAAAGTGTTAATCCAGAATAGTCCAACTCCAGCTACAAACATAATAAATGATGGAAGTAATTAAACCCCAATTATTTTCAAGTGTATGTGCTATCAAAAGAAAGAAAAATAATAAAATATGCATATACAAAAAAGCACCTAAAGGTATTACCAAAATCTTGTGTGAGAAGCAGTAGTGGTGAATGCGGTGACTTACAACGTGTTGGATTAGGTAATTGGTTGACGTTTTTGTATCCATAAGGTTAAGTTAGCCTAAGGCAAGAAGCAGAAACTGAGTTCACAGGAGAGGGTCAGGAATTCCAAAGGAATCTTATCCATTATTTTTTAAAATGAACTAGAAAACCCTGAACCCACCCAAGAAAGGGTAATGAGATATGACATTTATCTGGAGTCTAGAGTGGAGTGAGAAAGTTATGCAGAGCATCTCATTCATACCCTGATATGCAGAAGGGGAACTCAAACCTCATTTATGTGGTGAACTGAGGAAATCTGAGACAAGAAGTGAGTTCCAGTGAAATAAAATCCCAAGGACCCCAGCAGAAGCAAATGGAAAAATCTCACAACCCACAGGACAAGGGATTCCAAAAGGGAAAAACTCATGGTGGAGAAAACACAATGGAATAAAATCTAATGTAGAAGAATCAGCCTATTCAATAAAAAACAGAGACAGTAACCAAAGAAGATGACATAATAGAGCCATGTAAAGGAGACCAGAAAAAATTAAAGAGAACAAAGAAAGAATAGAAACCAACACAGTCATAATGAAAAATCATTGCATTCGTCCATTCTCACACTGCTAATAAAGACATACCTGAGACTGGGTAGTTTATCAAAGAAAGAGGTTTAATTGACTCACAGTTCAGCATGGCTAGGGAGGCCTCAAGAAACTTACAATCATGGTGGAAGGGGAAGCAACATGTCCTTCAACACATGATGGCAGCCAAGAGAAGTACCCAGAAAAGGAGGAAAAGCCCCTTATAAAACCATCAGATCTTGTGAGAACTCACTCACTATCATGAGAACAGCAGCATGGGGGTAACTACCCCTATGTGTGTGGGAACACAGCCCAAATCATATCAATCAAAATAATACAAAATTAAATATTAAAAACAGAGACAAAATTGAAAGACGAATAGAGAGGTTAAAATACAGATTATTTTGATCAAAGTTAAAATAAATAATAAATGGTTAGTTTTATATTTCTATTTTATCCCCTCATTCTCACTTGTTCACCTAGTTTATTTTTCTTTTTATCCCACCTAAAAGCAGAAATAAAAGTCCAAAGAATTTCTTCACCTATATGTCAGAAGAAAGTTTAATTGCATTTGTTCTCAGGATAAGGCTTCTCTTCTCTTTGGTACTAGATAACCCTGAATCTGGGAAATAGGATCATAATTGTTCATGATATTAAATATCACATAAGTCATTCTCACTTCACAATTTCATGGAAAATGAAACAAAAGTTTCAATTCAACACTTAAAGATTTATTAATCATTTGCCACATTCCTAATTAAGTGATAACACCAGATTACAGAATGAGAAAGTACAATATTTAGGATGGTGTTCTGGCATCACTCTCCTTATGCCTCCATGATGAATGACCTCTCTGTGTTGAAATATTCCTCAAACTCTAAAATATAGAGGCTGGCCAAATTTTAAGTATGATCACTTCATTCTAGTCAGCCTTCCATGAAATGTCTAATGTGACCCATCTTTGCCAACCTGCAGCTCTCAGTAGATATTATTCACATTTGTCCTTTTTTCAAAAGCAAGCATGTTAGACATGAATAATCTCATGACATTTCACATTAGAAACAAGGTTTCTGTGTCCAAGGTTCTGAGACAGGGGAGGCATCTTGGAATATCTAATTCCTCTGACTTATTTTCTTTTATTTTGCTTTCTTCTCCCTTCTTATCGTTTTTTAAGGTTAAACAAGGGAAATTTATGAAGTATCCTTAATTATGATAAAATAGTAACATATAATATATAACAGGAAGCTATATATGTTACCCTAGGGATGAGGACAGTATCCAAGGAAGAACAAACTTGGAAGGAGTTCAGAAGTCATGGGAGATATGTCTGGTTTGCTTGCCAAATAGCATAAGGTCACTGGTTTAGCCAGGCCAGAGCTGTTTTAAGAACTATGAACACAAATTTTCGTGGCCAATTAAAATGAATGCAGATGTCCACAGTAAGAGCCAGTTCTCAATAAGTTGTACTGAAATTACTCTAATAAAGTTGTTGTTCAAACCTGAACTGACCAGATCAGTACCCTTAAAACCTGGATCCATAATTGCATCAGATACGCAATGCATTTGTCATCATAGGCTGGGCACAAAATAAATAGCTATATGTTTCTGATGCGGAAGACACCAATGCATTGCACACTTGTGATTCCTGCCAAAATGTGACCTTCTTGGGCCCATGGTAGAAAAAGTCACATTTTATGGGACTTTTATCCTGCCTGTTCTTTGAAGATAGATTGCACCCTTGACATCTGAAGCACTCCCAGAACTTTCAATACTAATTTCTGTTGGCATTCTTTTACTTTAAGGTGTTTGTATACCAAAATAATCAGCCAACTTACACCACACAATTGTGACCATTGAACTTAATGTGTGGTATGTTTCTGGCTTTCCAGACCATCCACAGTCTCACAAGTCTGTGCCTTTTGTTACAAATGCTGTGCAACAATGGGCCAGTATTCAAGAAATTTTACTGGTAATTTCAAGCCCTCTACCATCTGCAGGTATATGATATTATTGAGCTGTGTTATGAATTCCTAAAAAATCAACTTAAAACATTGCCTGACTCTACCTCCCATACTTTACTTGTTCATACAACTTAGTTAAACAATTTAATTACTAAGTGTTGGTATACCCAGAACAGGTCAGCTTGTTTTGGCTAGGTTTTGGCTAATGATTAGAATACAAAAGTGTTACAGTGGTAAAATTTGAGATTTTGCCATTACCATTGTTGGGCATGATGATTTTCCATATATATATATATAGATATATATACTCTAATGTCATTTGTATATTGGAATCCAATACTGTGCTTTGCATATAATGGACGTTTATTAATAATGTATTGAATTACATGTGACCAGATATAATTGAAATTAAATTCAAATAGCAACTTATCAAATGCATACCATAACAGAGTAAAAAGCAAAGTTTTTAGGAAAATATATGTAGTACACAGATAATTAATTCATATATGTTTAATAATTTTATTATTTTAATGTCTTATGGTACAATGTAAAATATGAAATATTTTAAAATAAATTAGTTTTTTTCAAATGGAGTATATAGACTAGTTGAAAAGCAGATAATTAAAGAGTTTATTGCAATATAATATAAAAACTTTTGTGGAGGCACAAAATAGCAAATAACATTGCATCATTGAAGGAAAAGCTTGACAACTGTCTGACAAGTTTATTTAAATTAGTTTTATGCAATAATTCATGTGTGGTGTCCCTGAAAAACTCAACAAATTAGGGGAAGAATAGAGAAAAAGAGGTCAGAAAATCAATTGGGAAGAAGATGATTTCATGAAAATTGAAAGAGGAGCGATCATACGCAGACAGGAGGGGCAGAGCAAGGTGGCCAAATACAAGGCCCCAACAACAGTCCTTTCTGCAGGGACACCAGTTTAACAACTATCTACTCCAAAAAAGCACAGTCATCAGAACCAAAAATCAGGTGAGCACTCACAGTACCTGGTTTTAACTTCATTCTGCAGAAACAGGCACTGAAGAGGGTAGGAGACAGTTTCGAATTCCCAGGGCCACTCTTGCCCCATTCCCTAGCAGTGTCCACATGGTACAGAGATCCGTGCCCTTGGGGAAGAAAGAGTACAGCAATTGCAAGACATTGCATTGAACTCAGGAGTTGCCCTGTCCCAATAGAAAGCAAAACCAGTCTGAACTTGGCTAGTGCCTGCCCGTGGAGGGAGAATTTGAACAAGCCCTAGCCACAAGAAAACTACCCATCCCAGACATCGAAACTTGAGTTCTGGCAAGCCTCGCCACCATTGGCAAAAGTGCTGTGGGTCCCTCAATAAAATGGACGTACATGTGGTGGGTCTTGGGGCAACTAGTCTGCAATTCCTAGGCGAATCCTAGGCAAGTCCTAGTGCTGAACTGGGCTCAGAGCTAGTGAACTGAGGTGACACAGAACCTACTGAGACTCCAATTGTGGAGGCTAAGGGAGTACTTGTGCCACACTTATCCCAGCTCTAGGCTGTACAGCTTGCGGTTGCAAAAGAGATTCCTTCCTTGTGCTTGAGGAGAGAAAAAAGGAGACTAAAGAAGACTTTGTTTTGCATGTTGGATTCCAGATCACACACAGTAGGATAGGGCACTAGTCAGAGTTGTGAGGCCCCATATCCAGGTCCTATCTCCCGGATGAAACTTTTAGACACACGCTGGGCCAGGAGGGAACTCTTCTGCCTTGAAGGGAAGGATTCAGTCCTGGCAGGGCACATCATCTGCTGACTAAAAAGCCCTTGGGACCTCAATAACAAGCAGTGATACCCAGGAAATATACCATGGGCCTCGGGTGAGACTCTGAGACTTGCTGACTTCAGGTGAGACTCACCATACATATTCCATGTTCTGGTGGCTAGGGGAGAGACTCCTCCTACTTGAGAAAAGCAGAGGGAAAAACAAAGGGAACTTTGTTTTGCACTTTTAGTACCAGCTCAACCACGGGGAGCAGAGCACCAAGTGGATTCTTAGGATCCCCAATTCCAGGCCTAGGATCTTGGACAGCATTTTGAGACCTACCCTGATCCAGAGGCGGAGCCCAATGCCCTAAAGGGTATGTCCCAGGCCAAGCAGCATTCACCACAGCTGACTGAGAAGCCCTTGAACCTTAAGGAAACATCAGTGGTAGCCTGTCAGTATTGCTTCATAGGCCTGTGGTGGTGGCCACAATGGGAGCCTCTTTTGTCTGGAAAGGGGAGGAAAGAGAGGAAAAACTACTTCTCGAAGTTTGAATGCCAGCTCAGCCGCAATACAGTAGACCACCAGATAGACTTCCGAGGTTTTGGACTCTAGTCCCTTGTTCCAAGAGGACATCTCTGGACCCTCCCAGGGCCTAGGGGAACTCACCTCCCTGAAGGGAAGGACATAAGACTGGCTGGCTTCACCATGTGCTGCTGGAGAGCTCCAGGGACTTGAGTACATACAGCCCATACCCAGGTAGTGGTTATAGCAGGCATTGGGTGAGACACAGTCCTTTGTTGGATTTAGGTCTGACCTAGCACAGTTCCAGTGCTGGTGGCCACAGGGATGCTTGTGCCACCCCAGCCTAACCCCAGCTTCAGGCAGCTCAGACCAGAGAGCAAGAGAGACACTCTGTTTTGGAGAAAGAAAGGGAAAAGAACAAGAATCTCTGCCTAGTAATCCAGGAAATTCTTATGGATCTTATTCAAGACCATAAAGGCAGTATCTCCATGATGCTGCAAAAACCACAGCATTACTGGGCTTGGAGTGCCCCTAATGCAGATACAGCTTAGATCAAAACACCCAAGTCCTATTGAATACTTAGAAAACCCTCTCAAGAAAGACAATTACAGACAAGCTGAGACTGCAAAGACTACAATAAATACCTACCTCTTCAATGCCTAGACACTGAAGAACATCCAGAAGCATCAAGACCATTGAGGAAAACATGACCTTACCAAATGAATGCAATAAGGCACCAGGGACCAATCCTAGAGAAATAGAGATATGTGACCTTTCAGACACAGTATTCAAAATAGCTGTGTTGAAGAAACTCAAAGAAATTCAAAATAACACAGAGAAGGAACTCAGAATTCTATTGGTAAAATTTAACAAAGAGACTAAAATAATTTAAAAGAATCAAGCAGAAGTTCTGGAGGTGAAAAATGCATCAGAGTCTTAAAATAGCTTAATAGATCAAGCAGAAGAAAGACTTGGTGAGCTTGAAGACAGATTAGCTCACGCCTGTAATCCCCGCACTTTGGGAGTCCCAGGTGGGCGGATCATGAGGTCAGGAGTTCGAGACCAGCCTGACCAACATGGTGAAACTCCATCTCTACTAAAAATACATACAGGTGCATGCCTGTAGTCCCAGCTACTCAGGGGGCTGAGGCAGGAGAATCGCTTAAACCCAGGAGACAGAGGTTGCAGTGAGCCAAAATCACGCCACTGCACTCTAGCCTGGGCGACAGAGTGAGACTCAATCTCAAAAAAAAAAAAAAAGAAAGAAAATAGACAGTAGGAGGAGAAAAAGGAAAAAAATGAATGAAAAACAATGAAACACACCTACGGGATCTAGAAAATAGCCTCAAAAGAGCAAATCTAAGTTTTTGGCCTTAAAGAGGAGGTAGAGAAAGAGACAGACAAAAAGTTTATTCAAAATAATAATAAAAGAGAACTTCCCAAACTTACAGATCCAAATACAAGAAGGTTATAGAACACCCAGCAGATTTAACCCAAAGAAGACTACCTCAAGACTGCCTCCCAAAGGTCAAAGTAACAGTCCTAAAAGCAGCAAGATAAACAAAACAAATAACATACGAAGGAGCTCCAATATGTCTGACTGCAGACCTCATAGGCTAAGAAAGAGTAGCATGATATATTTAAATTGTTGTAGGAAAAAAAAAAAAACCTTTACCTTAAAATAGTATATCCAGCAATAGTATCCTTCAAATATGAGGGAGAAATAAAGACTTTCCCAGACAAACAAAAGCTGAGGGATTTCCTCACCAGGCCTGTCCTACAAGAAATGCTAAAGGGAGTACTTCCATAAGAAAGCAAAGGATGATAATGAACAATAAGAAATCATTTGAAGGTACAAAATTCACTGGTAGTAGTAAGTACACAGAAAAACACAGAATATTTTAACACAGTAACTGGTGTGTAAACTATTCATCTTTTCAAAAATCTTTTAATTTTAAAAAAGAATGAGATTCTGTCATTTGTAACAACGTGGATGGAACTGGAAGTCATTATGTTAAGTGAAATAAGCCAGGCACAGAAAGACAAACTTCACAAGTTCTTACTTATTTTTGGAAACTAAAAATTTAAGTAATTGAGCCCATGGAGAAACAGAGAAGAAGGATGGTTACTAGAGGCTATGAATGATGCAGGGGGGTGAGAGATAGTGGAAGTGATAAATGGGTACAAAAATATTTAGACAGAATAAATAAGACCTAGTATTTGCTAGCACAACAGGTGACTATAGTTAAAAAAATTTAATTATATATTTTAAAATAACTAATAGAGTGTAATTGGATTATATGTAACACAAAGAATAAATGTTTGAGGTGGTGGATACCCTATTTTACATGATATGATTGTTAAACATATATACCTGGATTAACATATCTCATATAATCCGTAAATACATAAACCTACTATGCTCCCACAAAAATTAAAAATTAAAATTAAAAATAAAAAAAGTACACATAGAAAGCTGCACAAAGTCTGTTTGTATGTAAGCATCTCAAATATTTTCCTGTAATTTTAATGTATAAAATGGGAGCTTTATAGGAGGAATTTCAGGTTCTTCATTAATATGAGTAAAAATATGCATAATCTATGTGGCTGCCTAGAATCCCAGTATGAAAAGTCATGCCCAAGTAAACTTAATGTCAGTAATTAGGCTTTGGTGAGTTATATTTTTCTATAATTTTTAATTTTGTATTTACAAGTTATGTAGTTTGTATAATTTCAAAAATAATCTGTCTCAATTTACTTTATTGTATTTTAAATGGAAATAAATAGAAATGTTATTTATATGTGGTTCTGGAAAATGGAGCAATGAACTAAATTACAGTTTTCACAGCTTTACTGATTTAATATTCGTTACTGGCAGTGACGAAAGATCTGCTAGATAGATAAGTGAACTCTTATTGCCAGACACTTAGAATAAACTTCTTAGCTCTGTTTGGGTGTACCAGACTGCTCTCATACTTCTACAGCACAAGAATTTTAGCTTTTATTTCCTTTTTAAATTAGTTCTGCTTTACACTTTATAGTTCAGTATTGTTCTTTATCCATACTTGTTTCTTTGTTTCCACTTCCTGTCCCTAAGCTGATCTCTGCGTGTTTTTTCTTATTTGTTTGTTTTTAGTTTTTTTGTATAGATGCATTGTCCTTTGACAATAGAAAATATAGAAGTTGGGATTGAATAGAGAAATCATGCTGCTTTATGGTTTGCACCTGATGGTTTCTAGCCTTTCAACTAATTTTTCAGTTAATAAATAATATGTACTGTGCTATAGAAACAGAGAAGTTAAGGCCTTTAGAAATTTGTAATCCGTTTTTAAAAAAACAGACATAAAACAACAATAAAAATAATACACAACCATATGAAATACATATGCACATAAGAAGTAACTGGATTGAGGCAGTCTTGGCATCAAGAAGGGACTTCAGAAGAAATTTAGCAATGTTTATTCTTGAGGAATATATTTTAGTTATTTCAGAAAAAGTACATACCAGGTGAGGGAATGGAAAACATAGACATAAATGCCAGTATTATATATGTATGAGGAACTACAAATGGTTTAGTGAGGCATAAAATAAAAATTGGTTAATGGATTACAAACATGACATGAAGATTTAGCTGCAGCCAAAGGGGCATATATACCCTCTAAATATATTTGTACTTTATTCTGCACAAAAAGAGAAATTTAAATAGAAGCAGTGTAGGTCTGTAAACATATTATAGAAAGATATCCTTGCAAGTAATTTAGATGAAGAAATTGGAAAGATGACATTATGGAGGACTGAAGACAAATCTAGTAGTAATTTACAAAATATACCTGAGAAATATGGAATTCCTGAATTAAGGTAAGAATCTGTATGAAGAGAGAGAAGTTATTTATTTCAATAGAAGATATTTGGGAAAATGGTTTGATTGGGAAAAAAAGTTTGGACTTTGAAATCAGACTGCTTGATTTGAATTCAAATTCACTATTTATACCAGTAAGATTCTGGGAAGCTGACTAAGCATTTAACTCTCATTTTCTCACGTGTATAATGTGTCTAACAATATTGTAGACACTTATGGTTGTTCCTAATAATCATTCACATCCTTTCTATTTGTATGTCTTTCTATATTTCTCAATATGAAAAAAATAGTTATGAGAAGAGGTAATTGAAGCATTGATACTAGGCAAATTTGTTTCTATAATTTTTAAAAAAATTAAATCAAATTAATATATATATGCATATATATGCATATACACGCACACATACATACAGCCCAAAAGTGGTTAAACAGAATTTAGAGCATAAGGAAAAATATCTTGCCTACTAAGGTAATACTACAGTGTTCTCATATAAAATGGATGTTTTTTTTCTTTTTTCATTTCTTTCTAGACACCACAGTCTGTAAATTTTCTGCCCATCTTTGTGGTACCTCAACTGATTTTTTCCTATTCTTCTTCTGGTTTTCCTGATATAACAAATAATTATTGAATTAATAAAAATGTGGGAGAGCTTTCAGTACTTGATCCTCTTCTCTTTCTATACTCAATCCTTAATAATAGAATTTAGTCTCATGACTTTTATAAAATATCTTAATACCAACTCCAAATTATTATTTTTAAAATTTCTGTATTTATCTCTATCTAACAACTGAGTGAAATATTCTAATGTCTACTCAACATTTCCAACTTGGCTATCTAATCAAGTTTTCAAATGAAACTTCTGGACCTATGAAATGGATCTACTACGTCTATACATCTATAATTTATCCCATTCCATTTATAATAATAGCAACTCTCCTCAGATCTAAAATTTGTATAAATCTTTATTCTGCTTTTCTGTTGTGTTTTATCCAGTAGAAACAGGAAATCCTTCAGAGTCAGAGTATGCTCTCAAAATACATCCAGAAATTGAGCGTTATTTCACTGCCTTTGCTGCTATAACCATTGTCTAAGCTATATTTCTTACTGGAATTATGTTGTATTCCTGGACTCCTATCTGGTCTCCTGAATTCATATTTTGTGCACACCCTGCCTTGTTTATTATCAATAGGATTGTGAGAGCACTCCGGTATTCATTCAAGGAATATTCACAGAAAGTCTACTTCTATTAATAGACATTTTAAAGGCTTGCGTTAGACCATATAATCCATCTGCTCAAAACTCTGCAATTGCTCTTCTTTCCTCAATGTAAATTGTAAAATTCTCATTATGGTATATAAGTGGGTGATTATACATTATAGTTTGCTTTGGGGAATCACTGTTTTTACCTGATTCTCTGCATAATTATTAGTAACTCAGTTCTTCAAACATGAACTATTTGACATTCTATGTTCTACCTCCATAGCCCTGGCCCACTTTGCTCCAGATTTTGTTGTTATTGTAACACATCTGGTATTCTTCCACCTTAGATCTTTTGTTCTGGCTATTAACTTCTGCCTAGAAACTCTTCCTTCAGATTCACAACATCTTTATATCTATTAAGTTTTTGTTCAAATATTACCTTTACCTTATAGCCTATCCTGACCACTCTAGTTAAAATGGTAAACCTACACTCCTGAACTCCTTTAACCTGTTTGAACATTTTAACAAGAACACTCAAAATCTTCCACTATACTGCATACTTTCTGTGTTATATTTCTATTTTTGTGTCATTCTTGCTGGAGAGTCAGTATCTTTAAAAATCTGTTGATGTTATTCTACTACCTAGGAAAGGGTTTAACAAGCAAATAATTATTTTACAAAATGAGTACATAATGCCGTAATATTACCTACTCAGATTTCAGGATGATGAAGTGTTCATTCATTGGGCATTGCCCTCATCAGTCTATAATAAGATAAAAATGAAAGATTCTTGTACATTAATGTAGAAGTCATTAAAAGAAAAGACGAGGTGAAGGGAATGACTTGCCTGAATAGAGAAAAGCAAAATGAAAATGAAGGTAAGGTTAGAAAGCTGGAAAGACTTCCTGTTTATTTTCCCTAACATGCAGGAGAGTAATGGAAAGAATATAGATGCTTCATAGCATCATTGAGAAGCTAAGCCCTTTAATGGAACTAAGGCTGATCTGCTATCTACAGATTCATCACTGAACTTGTTACTGAAGAATAAGTAATAAAAATGTGTCCCTTACTCAATAGTGATTTGTCAAAGTTTAAATAAAACACATAAATTGCATGGGAAAATGTTTATCACAGAGTGTTAAATAATTGCTAGTTATTTTTATATGAATACAGTAAAAACATGGTTATTTGTGGGATTGAGGGACTGAAGGGATTCTAAAATGACATGATGGTTTCTGGCTTTTCCATTGGAATTTTATAACTTTTATGTTGTCATGTAGCTATTTTGTTTCTTTATCATACATACATGTTTCAGGGTTTATATCTAAAAGTTAATAACTATTAAAATCACAAGTCACACATATATGTGCTGCTATATTACATCACTCAAAAAAGTAATTTTTTTAATGGCCAAGCCAAATGGTTTAGGCAAACATTGCCTCAGCACATTGGAAAGGACTATGGATAGCATGCTAAGAATGTGTTGAAGCTCTTATTGCTAGGGAGAAAAAACTCAAATGAATGACTCAAGAATTTAGTGATCACCATTGAGTAATGGAATAGTTGTTGCAAATTAGGTGTTGCAAATAGTTGTAATCAGAATCAGGAACACCTAATCAAGGCATGCTTCAGCTTTCTTACCTTTTTAAGTCAATCACAATTAGGTTGGGATATATTAACATGCAAGTAAGAGAAATAAGGGAACCTGACCAGAGGAGCCTTTAGGCAAAGGAAATGAAGTAAGAGTAATTAGCAACACATACCATTAAAATGTCCTTAGCATTTATCTTTAGGTTTGCTTGAATTCAGTGTCTTCACTCCTTTCAACATAAGCTGACAAATAATGCAATTTTCTTTACATTCCTACTGACAAAATTTGATAAATAGTCAGTGTACTCACTATTGTAAATGTCACACAGAATTACAAAAGTGTCTTCTAAAACATTTCATTAGCAAGATAAATTTAATCAGAAATAACATGTATTTACTTTGAGCCCCTGTTCCATGAGTCTGAGCACCATAGAGTTTGGGTGGATTGTCGCAAGTAATATCCAGTAAATTCCAAGTCTAGATGGTATCATGACTAAATAAACTTGAAATTAAATGCACTAGCTTCAACCTGTTAACAAAAATCTAGGTTAACATGGGTCATAATAATAGTAAGTTTAACTGGGTTTAACACCAGAAGAATTGGTATTAAAATACATGGATTCATCATAGAAAAAAATAGAAGTTTAAGCTGAGTCACACAGCTCTAATTTAGCTCTCTTAGTATTAATAACTGGCTGGAAGATACTAGTGTAAATCCAAGTTGACAGCTTGAAGAATAGAATTGGCATCTAAAACTATCTAGATTAACTAGCACTTTACTGGTTCCAAAGAAATGTAGGCAACATCATCAAAAAATAATTCTTATGTAGTCACTCCTGTAGAAAGTCTTTGAAAACCAATTTAAAGCTTAACTACTACAGTTAAATAATTTAAGACAAAATCCTCAGAAACTCTGCATTAATGACACATTAAAAATATATATTCTTAAGTTTAAAAGATCCATAAGTAGATAATCACAAGTAAGAAATCCATTAATATGAGTATCAGTAATAAGGCCACTAACAGAGGTGAAATAATTAAAATTGCACAATTAAAGTGCTCATTAATACACTAAATACTATAGTATTAAAGAGATTGAGTAACGTTTTTGAAAGGTATACTTAATTTAAAAAAATATTGTATGAAGAAAACTAGTAACTTCAGGCAATTCTCTAAAAATAGTTAAATAGCAACATTTTAAACCATGAAGTTTAAATAGCACATTTTTTTTCCACACAAAGAATAATTTACACACAACTTCTCATTTGGAGTTAATCTGAGAGAAAATATGGTAATGTAGACAGAGCAGTGACCTTGAAGTCAGGGATTATAGAGTACAATTTTAAATATCAAAATCTAACTTTATGACCTTGGTCAAAGACTCCAAATTTTCATTGCCTCTTTATCTGCCCGTATTGTAATATATTAGGAATAAATTGCAAATAGTACATTGAAGCTTTAAAAGTGATATAAAAATCCATCTTAAATAAAGGCTTGGAATTTTTTAATAGCAGTAACAAGAATTGTGATTTTACTTTTTACTGAAATTACTAGATGTATCAATCAAAACAATTACTAATATTTAGAAAAAACTGTGGTGTATAAATAATAGATGGCATTTAAATATAAATTGTATTAGGATCCACCAGAGAAATAAAATTAATAGGATCTGGATATTAGTATAAAGAAATTTATTTTAAGGCATTGGCTTACAGAATTATGAAGTCTGACAAGTCCAAAATCTACAGTTCAAGTCCCAGAGCCTTCAGGCTGGATTCCAGGAAAGAGACAATGCAGTCTGAAGTCTGAGGTGTGATAATTTAGGGAAGAGACAAGGTTGCAGTTCAAGTCTGACAGCCATCTGCTGGCAGAATTCTTATCCGCAGGAGGTCGGTCCTTTGGTCTATTCAGCCCTTCTGCTGATTGGATAAAGCCGACTCATCATTCTCAGCAAACTATCATAAGGACAAAAAACCAAACACCGCATGTTCTCACTCATAGGTGGGAATTGAACAATGAGAACACATGGACACAGGAAGGGGAACATGACACACTGGGGCCTGTTGTGGGGTGGGGGGAGGGGGTGAGATAGCATTAGGAGATATACCTAATGCTAAATGACCAGTTAATGGGTCAGCACACCAACATGGCACATGTATACATATGTAACAAACCTGCACATTGTGCACATGTACCCTAAAACTTAAAGTATAATAATAATAAAATAAAATAAAAAAACAAGATAAAAAAAAAAAACCCGACTCATATTAGGGAAAGTAATCCGCTTTTCTCAAAAAGTCCCTTGATTTAAGTGTTAATCTCGTAAAAAAAATACCCTCACAGAAACATCCAGAATGTTTGACCATGTATCTAGGCACTGTGGACCCGCAAAGTAGAGACATATAGTTAACCATTATATAAACTAAATATGATTATAAATTATGAATCCAATATATTAATTATTCTTTGTTTAACTTTACAAAATGGTCTTGGAATTTATATAAGGCAAAGTAGTTACCAAATAAATGTCAGAAGAATCCCAAAGTTTCCACAATCCTTTGTCCTTATCAGATGGATATTCTATGTACTTATTCTTTTGCCCTTTAAAGTTCATATAAAGACTTGTACATAGATAAAACATTGTAGCTTCCCCTGAGTTTTCATTTGAAATACTCCCTTGCTTCTTTCTTGCATTTCCCCACATCTTGTTTTTCATATATGAAGAACTTACATCCAAGTCTACTACTGTGGCCTTTATTATGTTGAGTTAAATTTCTTCTTTACCAAGTTTATTGAATATTTTTATCATAAAAGAGTATTGAATTTTATCAAATGCTTTTTCTGAATCTATTAAGATGATTATGCTCATCTGATTAGTACACTTTGTTTTTGTTAATGTGGTGTATCATATTTGCATATATTGAAATATCCTTGCCGCTCAAAGATAAATCTCACTTGAACATACTGTATGATGTTTTCAATGTTCTGTTGAGTTCAACAGCTATTCAGTTTGCTATTATTCTGTTAATAATTTTGGAACTAGGTTTTATCAAGTATATTTCTAGCTTGAAGTTTATTCTTCTTGCAGTACTTTTGCCTAGCTTTGCTGGGCAATGTTGCCATCATAAAATAAGTTTGTAATGCTGACATCATAAAAATAAGTTTGTAAATGTGTCCTTCTCTTCAATTCTTGAGAAGAGAAGCTTCTCTTCAATTCTTGAGAAGAGAAGCTTCTCTTCAATTCTTGAGAAGAGAAGCTTCTCTTCAATTCTTGAGAAGAGAAGCTTCTCTTCAATTCTTGAGAAGAGAAGCTTCTCTTCAATTCTTGAGAAGAGAAGCTTCTCTTCAATTCTTGAGAAGAGAAGGAATGGCATAATTCATTTCAAATATTTGGTAGAATTCACCTGTGGAGCAAATTGGCCCCGGGCTTTTCTTAATTGGGACATTATTGTTTACTTATTCAATCTCCTTACGTGTTGTAGGTCTGTTCAGGTTTTCTGTTTCTTCATAATTCATTCATAGCAGGTGTATGTTTTTAGAAATTTATCTATTCCACCTAGATTATCCATTGTTTTGATGTACAGTTGCTCATATGTTCACAGTAGTTTTTATGTATGCAACATCAGTTATAATATCTCCTTTTAATTTCTGATTTTGTTTGTTGAGTTTTCTGCCTTCTTTCTTGTTTTAAGAAAGTTTTGTCATCGTATAAAACCCCAATACCTAGTTTTGTTGGATTTTCTATTCTCCATTTTGTTTATTTCTGCTTTAATCCTTCTTCTTCTAATTTTGGGCTTAGTTTGTTCTTTTCCTGGTTTCTCTAGGTATATACGTAAGTTGTTTATTGATGCTCTTTCTTCCTTGTTAATGTAGGCCATTTATTGATATAAAATTCCCTCTTAGTACTGCTTTTGCTTCATTCCTTAAGCTTTGGTGTGTTTTGTTTTCATTATCATTTTTTACGAAGTATTTTAGAATTTCTCTTTTCTTTTTTCACCCATTGGTTGTTCAGGTGTGCATTGTTTAATTTCTATATACACCCTGATGTTGAGTGCATATGTTTTGGATTGTTGTAATTCCCTGATGACTTGGATCTTTTATTATTATAGATTAACTTCTTTGTCTTTTGGTCTTTTGAGATAATTTTTGATTTAAGTCTATTTTGTTTGATATAATTTTAACCTTGACTCCTTTTTTTTCTACTGTTTGCATGGAATACCTTTTTTCATCTTTTTATGTTCAACATTTGTATGTTCTTAAATTTAAGTTGAGTCCTGATATGGTTTGGCTCTGTTTCCTCTCCCAAATCTCATCTCGAATTGTAATCCCCACATGTCAAGGAAGGGACCTGTAATCCCACATGTAGAGGGAGGGAGGTGATTCGATCATGATGTTCTCATGGTAGTGAGTGAGTTCTCATGAGATCTGAAGGTTTTATAAGTGTTTGTAAGTTCCTCTTTCACTTCTCTCTTTCCTACTGCCTTGTCAAAAAGGTGCTCGCTGCTTCTTTACCTTTCACCATAATTGTAAATTTTCTTAGGCCTTCCCAGCCATGCAGAACTGTGAGTCAATTAAACCTCTGTCCTCTATAAATTATCCAGTCTTGGGCAGTATCTTTATAACAGTGTGAAAAGAGACTAATACAAGTCCCTTATAGATATTTTCTTTGTGGTTATCATAAAGATCTCATATAAGTTCTTATTCTTATAATAGTCATTTTAAGTTGAAATAATTTATCATAAATTGCATATATGTAAAGCTACACTTTTACTTCTCCTGCAAACACACTTTATGCCACTGATGTTACAGTTTACATCTTGTATATTGTGTATCCATTAAAATTTTATGTAATTGTAGTTATTCTTAATATTTTTGTCTTTTAACTTATGTACTAAAAATTACAATGTATTTACATGCCCCCATTACTGTATTCTGTATTTGCCTATATATTTGCTTTGCCAGTGAGTTATACTTTCATATACCTTCATGTTTCTATTTAATGCCCTTTTGTCTCAAACTGGAGGACTTCCTTTAGCATTTATTATAAGAAAGGTTAGTGGTGATAAACTGCCTCAGCTTTTGTTTATATGGGAAAGTTTTTATTTCTTCGTGTTTGAATGGCACTTTTACCAAATACATATTCTTAGTTGGCGGATTTTTTTCTTTCAGCACTTTGAATCTATCATCCCACTTCTTTCTGCCCTGAAATGTTTCTGTTTAGCAAAGTGCTGATATGGAAGCTCTCTTGCATATGATGAGTGTCGTTTCTCTTGCTGCTTTCAAATTCTCTGTTTGTCTTGATCGTTTGATGATGTGATTGTGATGTGTCTCAGAATAGATTTCTTTGAGTTCCTCTACTTAGAGATCTTTTGGTCTTCATGATCTGAATATACATTTTTCTCCTTAGGTTTAGGGAGTTTTCTTTAAAGAATATATCTGACCCTCTCTCTATCTCTTCTCCCTCTGTGACTTCCATAAGGCATTCATTGGTCGCTTAATGATGTTTTGTATGTTTCTAATTTTTTTGCCTGATTTTTCTTTCTTTTTTTGTTCCTCTGAGTTTACTGATTCTTTTCTCTGCTTGATCAAGTCTGCTTTTGGTACTCTGTATTGATTTCTTTTTGTTTCAGTTATTGTATCTCTAGCTCTATAATTTCTATTTGGTTATTTTTATGGCTTCTATATTTTTATTGATATTCTCGTTTGTTCATGCATTATTTTCCTGATTCCATTTAGTTGTGTAGTGTGTTCTCTTATAATTTACCAAGCTTCTTTAAGACCTTCATTTTGAATTCCCTGTCAGACAATTCACAGATCTTCATTTCTTGAAGGTCAGTTAGTGGAGATTTATTTTGTTCATTTGTCATGTTTCCATGATTATTCATGTTTCTTGTTGCTTTATGTTAGTATTTGTGCATTGAAAGGAACAGCCAATTTTTCGTTTTTACAAGTTAATTTCAATAAAAAAAGACCTATAGCAATAAACCTACCTAGATATTCTGGAAGCCTCTAAAATCTTTTCTGTGACATGTATGCTCTACTACTCTTCCTTCCTCCTTTTGGTGATGTCTCAGTGTTCTGTGCCTTCTCTGGATCTCACATAGCCATACTAGCTACAATAAGCCAGGTTCTCTCTTTCCCTATAGAAGTGCTCTAAAAGCCTGGGGTGTTGGATACAAACTTCCCTCTTCTCCTTTCCTCCTGGACCAGAAGTCTTAGGGTTGTCCACCTTGTCCCAATCTCACATAGCTGATCTGACAACAGTAAGCCATCTGCTACTTGTCTTTATTCTTAGATCCCCCGAAGGCAACCAAACTAACTTGTTCCATCCATTATGTTCAAAGGAGAATAATATGTAGTACTTATAAACTTGAAGTTGCAACTGATGTGGCAATATTAGTACTTACCATTCATCACTGAAGTACATGTTCTGTGTAAGTAACCCTGCTTTATTTTTCTCAATATGAATAAAATTTACATATTTGATATGATCCAATAATATAGTTCAAAAATGTCTTTTAAAAAATTAACTGTCTGGAAACATAAGCTGAAAAATATGTATTTGGAACATATAGGTGCAGAACAATGAATTCCTTAGATATGCAGTCTATTTATACAATTCAAAGAAAAAAATTACAGACCCTATAATGCAGAGTCGTAATAATTATACTTTTAGTCATAATGTGGAAATTAAAATACATTAACATCTTTTATTTTGCCTAATTATTTGATGTTAAATGTGTGTGTGTGTGTGTGCATGTGTGTGCATACATGCATGTTTGTAAAAATAGCTAATAACATAACCTTAGTCAGACTCTTTCTACTGGTCCTCTTTTATTAACCTGCCATGTTATTTCTTTTTATTCAAACATTAGGAGTAAACCATAAAATGTGAGTGAAATAAACAGATTTTTCAAAAATGACAACAGTTTTACCAAAAGATCCAATCCAATCAGAGTAGACTCTTCCTTAACACACATTCTTAATGTATATTTTTAATTATTTAAAAATATTTCTACAATTTTTTCTTATTATAACTTTATACCCATAAATATTTTGTACTTTAATGCCAGTTTGGCCTTTGGCTATTTGAATATTCAGATGCAGTGACCTATATACTATTTGCAGTCTTGGCTCTACTCACTAGCTGGAGCTAACTTTCGTGATGGAAGAATAGTGGTATCCTTTGAGATTATAAATCATTGCATCTAGCATATTTTCCAATAAACATGTCTATTGATAGAATAAATTTTAGAGCAGAAGTTTATAGATTTTGTTTAACGTAATTCTCTAACTATGTAAATAACTAAATAGAAGCACAGAGAGTCAAGTGTCTTTTCCATGATAACAAAAGTTTATTTTGAAAAATCTAGGTAACTTCAAGCTTTCTGACTTTTAATTCAATATTTGTTTTTTAAATGTATCATACTACATAAGACTAAATTTTCTCTCACTTAATTTTTTCTTCATCATTTTAACTAGCTTATAGAAATAAAGAAGCAAGAGTAGTAATTCAACACTTTATTATGAAACAGGCTAATGTAAATATTCTGTGCACATTTAAGGTAGGCTAGGGTAAAGGTACGATGCTCAGTAGGTTAGGTATAGTATTAAATGCATAATCTTTTGCTTTTTTTTTTTGGCCAAAGAAAGCTTTTTTCTGTTTTTATTTCTTTTTGGCCCCCAAAAGCTTTTTATTGGCCTCTCTTATGTTTCTTTCTTTCTTTTTTTTTCCAACTTTTATTTCACTGTCATGTGGTTCATGTGCAGGTTTGTTACATGGGTAAATTGCATGTCACTTGTTTGGTGTACAAGTGATTTCATCACCCAAGTAGTAAACATACTACTCAATAGATAGTTTTTCAATCCTCATCCTCCTTTCACCCTCCACCCTCAGGTAAGTTGCAGTGCCTATTGTTACCCTCTTTGTGTCTATGTGTACTCAGAATTTAGACCCACGTATAAAGGAGAACATGTGGTATTTGTTTTTCTGTTCCTGCATTACTTCACTTAGGATGACAACCTCCAGTTGCATCCATTTCACTGCAAAAGAAAGGGTTTCATTCTTTTTATGGCTGTGCAGTATTCCACTGTGTATATGTACTATATTTTCTTTATCCAGTCAAATACTGATGAGCATCTAGATTGATTTTATGTCCTTGCTATTGTGAAAAGTGGTACAATGCAAATTTGCATGCATGTGTCTTTATGATATAAATACATATATACTCGTTTGGATATATACTCAGTAATGGGATTACTGGGTCTAAAGGTACTTCTGTTTTAAATTTTTTTGAGAAATCTTCAAACTGCTGTTCACAGTGACTGAACTAATTTACATTCCTTTCTGCAGTGTATAAGGGCTCCCTTTTGTCCACAACCTAACCAGCATTTGTTATTTTTTGACGTTTTAATAATAGACATTCTGACTGGTGTGAGATGATAATTCATTGTAGTTTTTATTTGCATTAAATGTATTTTCAACTTGGCAGCATTTTCAATTTAAAGATGGGTTTATTGGGACATAACCCCATCGTAAGCTGAAGAGCATTTTATGTTACAAAATGTAAACTTACTCTTTCAAATCAAAAGATTTTACAGTTTTCCTTCTTTTTAAAAAAATATAAAACCTTGTTATAGCAATATCTTTTTTCACATCACACTTAGATTTTGAAAAAATATTATGAGTAGCTCTGTGTCTAACAAATCAAGTTAAAGGAATTATTTGGACCTCAGTATATTCAGTCATTGAATATCAAATTATTTTATATTTCTCAGTCATGTGAACTTCTCAAAGATTATAGAGACCTATAATAAACTTTCTTTTTTGCATCTTATCTCTCTCATAAATATTCACATTTTAGAACCAAACTTTGTGAAAGAGAAATTAAAGCAAAAATACCACTTGATTATTAACATTCTATAATATTGCATATTTGTAAAGAAATGCCAGAGAAAATAATTATACTTGATTTTATAGTAGTAAGTAAAAAGAAAATTTCTCCACTGTCACTGCATATTTTAACTATTTAAATTCTGTATATGACTTCAAAATATTTAAATTTCCCACACCTGCTTGCATATTCACATGCATATATTCATTTGATTTAGAAAACATTTGGAACAAATGGTAAGACTTTAATTTAATCATAGAGAAGCATATCATCTAAGCACTTAGAGCCATGGCTTTAAGTCTAGGTTGATAAAACTCATCAGAAATCCTAGCTTAGTATTTCTGTTACTGTTTCCTAAGTGAAGTCTAATATAAGAATAGACACTTCAAAACATTTGTCAACTAAGAAATAACAATGACTGTAGAATTTTAAAAAGGACTAAATTTGGCCAGGTGTGGTGGCTCATGCCTGTAATCCCAGCACTTTGGGAGGCCGAGGCAGGTGGATCATCTGAAGTCAGGAGTTTGAGACCAGCCTGAACAACATGGTGAAACTCTATCTCTGCCAAAAAATACAAAACTTAGCCAGGCGTGGTGGTGTGTGCCTGTAGTTCCAGGTACTGGGGAGCCTGAAGTGGGAGGATTGCTTGCACCAGGGATGGGGAGGTTTCAGTGAGCCGAGATCACACCACTGCACTCCAGTCTGGGTGACAGTGTGAGAACCTGTCTCAAAAACAAAAGACCTAAATTTTTATAAACTTATCAAAAAACCTTCAATAAATATTAATAAATGAATACATGGTCTTATGGTATGTTAAAAAAAGAACTCTCAGATAAATGTAAAAGCATTTTTTCCTATGTGTAAGTATTTTCATGGTCATGGGAGACTCATTTGGCATAAATTATTGAGTTTGATCCTTCTACTGAACTTAATTCTTTCCTTTCACCTATTTATTCTAATTTTCAAATAAATAGTGATGTTAACAGAATTTAACACTGAACGAGTATATAGTACCTACATAGATTCAACCATTACAGTTGTTTTATCACACATTATTCCTCATTTATTCCTCTATTTATCTTGGATTTTAAAATTTTTTAAGCAAACTTTTTATTTTAGAATTGTTTTAAATTTGCAGATAAATTAAAAATATAGTACCGTGCTCCAATTACCCCACAGCCAGTTTTGTTTTGTGTAATTAACATCTTATTACATTATTATGGTATATTTGTCCTATTGATGAATGTAATGATACATTACTATTTACTGAAGTTCATACTTTATTCATATTTTCCTTGTTTTTACACAATGTTCATTGTTCTGTTCCAGAAATCCATCCGTGATACCACATTGTACTTACTTGTTATGTCTTTTTAGGTTCCTAATAGACAGTGGATTTTTTCAATACTTTGTTTTGGATGATGTTAACAGTATTTTTACAATATCTGTAATATGAATTTGTTTAACATTTTCCCCATGATTATAAGACTGAGGATTTAGGGTTTGGGGAGGAAGACCACAAGGATTAAGTGTCATTCTTTTCATAGCATATCAATATCAATACTAACATGACTTACCCCTGCTGTGAACCTCTATTGCCTGGCTGAGGAAGTCTGTGACCGGTTTTGTCACTGTCAGTTTACTAAAGGCGTCATTCTAGGCAGCTCACACTTAAGAGATAGGGAATTATGCTCCATTTCCCTGGGGGCAGAGTATCTACATAAATGACTTAAAATTATTTTGCATAGGATATCAATTTTTCTCATTTATTTAGCAATATACTATTTGTAGGTGCTTGATATATATTTTATACTCTGAGCTATAATACTAATTTCTTTATGTTGTTGCTCAAATTGTTCCAGCTTTAGCTGTAGATGTTATTGTAGGTAGCTCATCAGGCATGAACCGGGCAGGAGAGGGCTTTCCAACACAAACACACCAGGAATTGTCAGATGTCCATAAGGTGATGGGCAGGCAGTCGTTAACTGTGTCACTAAAATAATAATTGGTCACAGCTGGTGCCAGGGAAAGGCTGTCTCTTAATAGATAGAAACACGTGATACTGGTGATCGGCAGCTTCAGGATAAGATCTCAGGAGGTGGGTGGTGAGTGGGCTCAGGCATGCGCACTAAGAGGAAAAAATGGAGGCGTTTAACTGGCATATGACCTTCCTCCAGGAATGCTAGACTAGTAAGGGAAGAACACTTCAAATGAGCAGACATACAACTCCAGTAAACACACGCACATACTCAGTTCCCAAGTGCTATCATGCCACTGCACATGCAGGCAGCCTACCCCACGGGAAGAATCAGGGGAGAAAATGGCAAGACCACAGAAGTACGCCAACATATAAAGCCCAAAGTCAAAAGGTCAAACCACTCACTTGATCTTTCAGGTAGCTGCTTGGCCCTCTTCCATGCATACTGTACTTCCTGTCATTCCTGTCTTAAAGGTTTTTAATAAACTTTCACTTCTGCGTTGGTCTCTCCTTCTGTCTTATGCCCCTCAGTCCAATTCTTTCTTATGAGAAGGCAAGAATTGAGGTTGCTGCAGAACGTATGGATTCGCTGCTGGTAACGTAGGCAGATCTTTCAGTTGGCTCTTATTTCCTTTTGAGATACCCCTATCAGTGTGTGTGTGTGTGTGTGTGTGTGTATGTGTTTATGTACCTCCTTACTTTCTGCTACTAAAAGATTCTCCATGTTCTTCCTATGTATTTCTTGTCCCAGTGTAAAAACAGCCACAGTATTAGAAACCATAGCTATGTGCTAGATATGCTCATTGTTACTGAATCCATAGCTTAACTTTTAAAAACAGTGATTCTAAAGGAAAAGCATAGTAAGTGATTTTGCATTATGGACAGTTAAATCGACTTCAGTTTTTAAAACATATAAATGGTTTGTCATGAAACTTGCAAAGAAATCCCGCTGGAAAAACACGTAAAAAGCCTTAAACAGCCAGGCGCGGTGGCTCTCGCCTGTACTCATCTCTTTGGGAGGCCAAGGTGGGTGGATCACCTGAGGTTGGAAGTTGGAGACCAGCCTGACCAACATGGAGAAACCCTGTCTCTACTAAAAATTCAAAATTAACCAGGCATTGTGGCACGTGCCTGTAATCTCAGCTACTCAGGAGGCTGAAGCAGGAGAATCCCTTGAACCGGTGAGGTGGAGGTTGCAGTGAGCCGAGATCACGCCATTGCACTCCAGCCTGGGCAACAAGATCAAAACTCTATCTCAAAAAAAAAAAGCCTTAAACAACAGCACAATAGTTACTTTGAAACAATAGCTTGATTTAAATGCCTAAAAAATTGTTTCTTTTAAATATTTTACTTATATTTATACTAAGAAGTTTGCAAACCTTAAGCATACAACTTGATGTACTGTCACAAGCTGAACCCATCTACACAACTACCAGACAAGTGAGTGCCCAGAATCATGGACACCTTTCTTGCTCCCCCAAGCATGATTACACATTTGTCCTAAATCTTGTTTCCTCAGCTACTCTTGTGCCTAGCACTGTATTCCCATTTCCAGCAAAAGCAAGCTGTGGCACTGGTCAAGTACACAACTGCAGGTCGCTCTGTATGTCAGCATATAAAGCCCCAAGTCAAAAGATCAAACCATGCACTTGATCTCTCAAGTCACCCACAAGATTAATTCACTTTTTGAGCAACTGACCACACAAAATTTTATTGTTTTTATTGACTGAAATTCGTGTACCCAATAGCAAGTTCCCCTTTCCTGACACCATTTAAGTGGTATAGTGAGTGGAATAGCGCCCCCCCCACACCAAAATAAAGACAACCTATGAATATGACCTCATTTGGAAAAAAGATCATTGTAGCTATAATTAAAAATATTGAGATCATCCTGGATTACTCTGGTGGACCCTAACTCCAGTGACAATTATGCTTCTAAAAAAGCAGAAAAGGAGAAGACACAAGAAGAGGACAAGGCCATGCAATGAGAGAATCAGAGATTGGAATTACCCAGCCACAAGTCAATGAGTGCCTGAAGCCACTAGAAGCTAGAGAGGCAAGGAGGAAATATTCCTGACAGAGTGACCCTGTTAACACACTGATTTCAGACTTCTGGTCTCCAGAGCTGTGAGAGAATGAATTGCTGCTATTATATGCCATCAGGTTTATGGTAAATTACTATGGCAGGCCTACGACACTAATACATGAGAAAAGACCTGAGGATTTGCACAGATGTTACAATCTGGGCAATAAAGAAAAATGGCTAAAGTAATGTGCAAAACAAAAATAAAGGGGAAAATTAATTTTATAATTCTTTCTAGGAAAATAAAGGAAATATAGGAAAACAGAAAAGTAAAGAGGAAGAAGAAGAAGTATAAGTGTGCATAAATGAAGGGCCAATGATGTTTGCCCTGTGGTGAAGCAAAAGGTCTTTATTAGGCACATGTTTAAAAAGAAGTCAGGTGTCTTCCTTAATCTTTATATCTCTTCTGAATTTTAATAAATGTTGGTATATTCAATATAAAGTATGTAAGGTCTTATGCATGTGTGGATTTAGGGTGGATTGTCTCAAAAGAGTTTAAAATGTGGATCAACAAGATGTGGGGCAGTGATAGACTAATGAAAACAGGCTTCCAGAGTTTTAGGGAAATTTATGGATACGAAATAATAATTCACAGAAAGGACATTTTTTGGACTTTTCTATGGCTTGTAATTACTTCAACTTAACAATCACAATATTACATTCTCCTCCTAGTGGTTTTTATATTACAGCTTTACGATTGGCTAACCACCTTCCCTAAATTAGATCTGTGGTTATCTGTTTCAGCACTTGTTTACCAACTTATTCTGCTAGAACAATGAAATTTAACAAGGAGAAGACATGGCAAATGATTTATATCTGTCACCTGCAATAATATTCTACTCAATAGAAAGTAACCAAGAACAGGAAAAAAAATTCTAGTAATCTTTACACCTGTTTAAATCCGTAACTACCTGTGTGGCACTTCTTTTTCTAAGTGAGTAAAACATTTATCTGTTATAGTAAGACTTCAGTAACTAGGTATCACAAGGAACCACTTAATATCATTCAAACTGATTACTACTGACAGCAACTCTTTTAATATTACCACACAAAACAAGTTTAGCACTAATGAAAACAATTAGTGAAGGGCACTTTCTGAAATGTTAAATATATATTTAGATTTAACAACTAAGTGGAAGAGTAACCACACTTTGAAAAATTGTTTTGGCTAATGTATTTTGAAATGATATTTGGAAAACGTTTGTGTGGAGGCTGCTATAACAAGATACCATAAACTGGATGAATTAAACAACAGAAATTTATTTCTCATAAATCTGAAGGTTGGGATGTCCAAGATCAAGGTGCCAGCAGGTTCTGAGTTTGATGAGGGCCTGTTTTCTGGTTATGTTCTCCTATGCTGGTGAGGGACAGAGGGAGAGAAAGCAAGGTCTATGGCATGTGTCTTGGAAGGGTACTAATCTAATTATGAGTCACACCCTCATGACCTAACTACCTCCCAAACCCCCATGTTAGTATCCCACTGGGGGTTAGTGTTTTAACATATGAATTGTGGTACATTCAAGCAATTCATTATGGTCCTACTCAGTTGGGGATGCTATAACAAGGTACCATAAACTGGGTTGCTTATACATAACAGCAATTTATTTCTCAGAGTTCTGGTGGCTGGAAATCTAAGATCAGGGTGCTAGCCTGCTTGATATTTGGTGACAACTCCCTTCCAGGTTGCAGACTGCCTCCTTCTTGTTGTATCTTCACATACCAGAAAACGGGCGAGAGAGCTCTGTAGGGTTTCTTTTAAAAGGACACTAATCCCATGCATGAGGGCTCCACTCTCATGACTTATTTTTTTCCCAAAAGCTCCACCTTCTAATACTATCATATTAAGAGTTGGGATTTCAACATATGAATTTGGGGGAGGGGGAGACAAAAATATTCACTCCATTGCAAGGACAAAGGTATAATATAAAATATTTGAAATGTGAAAATTTTGTGATATACTTTACTCAAATTCAGCAAAGGTAACAAATCAGTGTCAGTGTTATATACTAGATATAAAACATGACCAAAATTCTACAGTAAACATAGTACAACTTAATTTATATCTGAAAGTGCACTTTAAATTTGGAGATAAATGGGGAAAGTTTTAATTGTTAAATAATGATGTAAATTTTTCATTACTCAATGCAAAACCAGGTGTGATGATGAATAATTTATCTACTCAGCTGTTGTATTAAGTACTCTAAGTTTTGACAGGAAAATAAAATATAAAATGTAACAATGTAAGCTTAACTTAGACTATTATTTAATAAAATTATTCCAAAACATGTTGTAAATTGAAATACCTTCCAATTATTTATATTAGAGGTTTTTCTTTTCACATTCTTTTAAGTATTAAATATCTCCTTTATTACTTTTAAACTGGGTCCTGCCACACTGGCCAAGAATTAAGAGCTGAACAGTGTTACATATTAAATACAGAACTGCATTTGCACATATTAAGAGTTAAATGTAAATATTCTGGAGACTTAAGAATAAGTTTTATTGGTATAGTTCAGTTAATCACTTTATGTGATCATTAAACTAAAATTACAAATTAAGATGCTCAGTATGGTTGCTTTTGAATGGTTGGAAACAATTTTTATAACTACAAGAGTATGCTTTGTGTTTTTCATTTTTGAAAACATGATGATAATTATTTTATTCATAGAGAAGTTTTATACACTTCAGTATATAATTTATAAATATATTTATTTGCTTATTCTTCACAATTTAAATCAATTTTAATTTATTCTAATTTATTTTGGTTTCCTACTTAATCTTTTGATCCCTTCTCCTTATCTCTCCTTCAGCTCCTCTGGAGAAAACCAGCACTCTGAACACCTTTGGATTTTTTATTGTCCAAATTTTAATATGCAAAATATTTAAATTGCAGCTTCTCATCTGAAATCACAGACATTTTTCTTTCTATCTCAGCTACTCAAATCCATTAACCACCATTTTTTGTCTTTTTTAACTCTCTCAGTCCTTTGAATTCTCAGGTTTCTATTTGTATCTTCTTGTATTTATTTTCCAATTAGATAGAGTTATTGACCATAAGGAAAATCAGTCCTTTGGAAATACTTTAAACTTTGCTCATTTCCTCCGTTTCTTTACCTGGCAACATCTGATGGATAGAAACTGGGGTATAATAATTTCTGCTCCTTGAGCTAACTCTGAGTCATGTCCTGTATTATCTGCCAGAGATCCCTAACAAAACATATAGCCCGTTTCTCCTAGTGCTAACATGCTCATTAAAATATATTGAATTTCTCTTAATTTCCCTTTTTCATTTCTCCATCCCCTCTCTGGTGATTCTTGTACTTAACTCTCAAATAGATTACTTGCATTTGAATCTTTTGCCTTAGAGTATGTGTTTGGGGAAACCAAGAATAATGCACTTGGTACTTAAAATGCTCCTAAGAAGAGACCCTTAGAATGGGAACAGGCAATGGGTCACTTGCAGGCCAGATGTCAGCAACTTTATTGAGACTATGTGGAGAATATTACTGCCTAGCCTGGCATATTGTAGCACCAAGATTATTAAATGATGGATTGGTATCGGCTAGAGATGGAAGGGGTTATACTGTCCTAAGTAGTAGCTCATGTGCTTGAAAAATATGAAAGCAATGATGATTTTCATGTTTGTGGATTTAGTTGGCTGTTATTAATTGCCAGAGAAGTGCCAAAGTATGAAAATATCAGACTCAATTCAGTTGGCTAAGAATTTAGTATACGAAGTGAATGCCACAAATATTTTAAAGCAGTATTTAAAATAACTTATCTCATGCAGTGAGAGAGATGACTCTATTGTAAATTAAATGGACCAAGAAATGATTATGAGTATGGCAAAGTTATAATTGAAACCAAGTCCACAGTCCCTGCAAGTTTCCTACACTGAAGTAAAGGAAATAGAAGTAGGTCCTGAAGCAATGCATTGAGACATTTTTCTGTATGTATATGAGAACTTTCATTTCCCAGATGCCCTTGAACCTTTGGGTTGAAAGGAGCTGACCCCTGATAACCTCCAGAAGAGAACATCCTCCCAATATCTAGAGAGCATTCAATATTTTACTTGAGAAAGTTACTTTGCAGGATAATAACTTTCTACTGGTTCCCTTCCATTTCCACACTTATTGCCTCTAGAACAATAACTAGCTCAAATTTCAGAATGATTTCAGTGGCCATAATCCAGAAGAAAAAACATGACATTATCCAAAAATTTATAAGATCTAGCTAACATTCCAGGAAGAACCATGAGGACACGCTTGTGAATAAACTTTGAAAATACTACATTACAGAATGTGGACAATAAGCCTGGGTAAGTGAAATTTTGTTGATACCAGGATATTTTTGATTCAGGGAATATGATTTTATATAATTTTTATTTGCTATTATCATGACTGTTTAAAACTTGGAAATAAGAATGGCCTTTATTAAAAGAAATGAAGAGAGAACTGTTAGCAGAATGTAACCATCAGAAACAAGGCAAACAGAATTACTGCGAGGATCAGTAAACTGACATTGCAATTAGAGATTCTTGACTCGCAAGGATTTATAGTGATGGCTGATAGACTATGGTGTTCCTAGGGATGAGAGAGATGCACAACCAACTGTTGTTTTTTTTTTTTGTGTGTGTGTGTGTGTGTGTTTGTTTTCACTTATATAGCCATAAAATACCAAGAGTGGGTGAGTCAATGTCTAATATTTATTGCTACAGTGGAAAAATCATAATATCTAACTCAGTCTCCTCACCTGAGCCAAATCTCAGATCCAGAGTCAGTTGATTGAATAAAAGACTTATCCACATATCTTTTTGAACAAAGACCCTGAAATTCTGCAGAGTGTATTTGGTGGCTATTGCCCCAAAAGAGTAATGTATATTGAGGACAGCAGATGAAACAGAAACGTTTATGAGCAGCCAAGCTGAATGTAATACCAGGTGAACCAAAATGAAATCAATGTCTCCCATTAGAATAGGAGTATATGGATACAAGGTGGTAAATGCACACCAGGCCCAGGTCTATCTCAAATGTCCAAAGATTCTGGAAACCCATCTTGCAGTTATTTCTCCAGTTTCTATGTGAATAATTGGCATGGATTTACTTAACAGATGGTCGATTATTGCATTGGTTCTCTTTCATGTGCAGCAATGAAAGATTATGTTAGGAGAAGTCAAGTGGAAGCCTTTGAAACTTATTTTACAGCCAACATTGTAAATCAGAAACAGTGCCGCATCCCAAGTAGAATGGCATAGATTAATGCCACACCTAAAGGCTTAAGGAATGCAGAGAACCACACTTAATTCAATGGCTTTCATCATATAAATGAGAGGAGATCATGAGAGATGATTGTATAGTCCCTACTGCAGCTGCTTCTCATTTTTCTACTTATCTCCACTACAGGATCTTGCAAGTTGGGGATTTCTATTTGCTTTTTCAACTTTGCTGATAATCCCAGAATTCTGCCTGCCTTATTTCTGGTGGATAGGTGTTGCCAACAGTTCTTTCTTCTTTTATTGTAGGCCATCATTGTTTTACGGTTTCAAGCATATAATGTAGAATCTTTTATACATATTCTGACACTGTATTCTTTGATCTAGTCAATATGTTTCTTTTGATTTTCATCAAAATTGAAGACAAAGTAGTTTGCAGTCACCCAGGGCCTTTCCCCAGGACAAAGTAAACCCTTTTGTTCTCTATCAACATAAAAGAAAGGGGATTTAACCATCTTGACATAATAATGAAAAATGCACTGGTCTATTATAATGATGGAATTTGGTTAATTTGGCTTGAGAGTAAGAAGTAAATACTTTGGATGTCCTCTCCTGGTAAGATGCATGTAAACAAGACAGTGAGAGATCATCTGTACAAATTTTCATAGATCTGCCACATCAAAAGTTTTAAGGGATCAATTTTTCTTGCATATGCTTGGGCATGTCTGTCCTCCAATTTGAATTAAAAGTTAATACACGCTGTACTTCTTATCAAAACAAAGGAGCATAGAACTTGATAGGCTGCTTTAGAATGTGGAAACAGCAAATGTCACATTTAAAGTACTGCCTGGATTTTGGAAGGCTGGCAGTTTTAAGTGGAACCTATAGAAAGAGAGGATAATGCTCTAGGTTTAGCCTGAAGTTCAGTTAGCTCTAACTTGTGGGTCATGTGACCTGGTCAAAGCCATATAGTGTTATCTGTGTCATAAGGATGATGCATGGAGTCTCTGACAATCCTCAATAAAGAACTCATAGCATAAAACCCTAGGTTATGCTATCTTCAAAAGAAAACTTTTTATAATTTAAAAAGCAGCTTCCAGAATGCTGCTGATACCTCATGGAGATTGAATGCCTGACTGTAGGATGTCAGGTGACTATGATTCTGTTGAAGCTGCTTGACATGAGTTGAGTGTTGTCAGATCCATCAAACCCAAATGTTGGATGAGGATAGTTCAAATACTTTACGTGATGGAGATGGCATATTCAGGGTTGGTTCTGAGCAGGCCCAGAAAGAGCAAGTAAAAGAAGTAGCAGGAAATGGTGGTGTGGAAATGGCACCCCTAGTGTCAATAGGAACAGTTAGTATTGTTGAGTTAATTGTCATTTACCTTCCTTGCTTCAGTTCCTCTCTTCCTGTTTGTATCAGTAGAATCTGAGTGATTTTCTATGAAGAACTGATAGTGAAGGATGTGCTAGGTATATTGGTGCCTGTGATGATTAATATTTTGTCAACTTGACAATACAGTAGTGCCCAGATATCTCATCAAACATTATTCTGATGCTTCTATGAAGGTGTTTTCTGAATGAGATTAACACTTAAATTGGTGGACTTTGAGTAAAGTTGATCATCCTCTATAATGAGGGTGATCCCCATCTGATCAGTTGAAAGTCTTAATAGAACAGACTGACCTCCCCTGAGAAAGAGGAAATGCTGCCAGCAGATTATTTTCAGACTTGAACTGCAACTCTTCCCACGATCTCCAGTCTGCCAGCCTACCTTGAAAATTTTGGATTTACCAAGCCTCCACAATCGTGTTACTAGTTTCTGAAATAATAATCTCTCTCTCTCTTTCTCTCTTTCTCCTTTCTCCCTCTCTCTCTGTTCTGTTGCTCTGGAGAACTCTGATCAATATAGTACCTTGCTACAGCTCCTCTTAGGGTAGTCCTAAAAGGCATTGATGAAGAGATATATTACCAGGAACTGAACTCCATAAATTTAGATATAGGAAGAGTTTTTTCTCATAATAGCACATAATTTGGACTGATGATAAGGGGTCTGGAAAATGTGAGACTGGAAAACTGGAAACAAAAAAAATCTGGAGGAAAGGCCGGTAGATGGACTCTGAGGAACAGTATTCATTCCCAGCTCACGCTCTCTCTCTTTTTTTTTTTTTTTTTGTTAAGACAGAGTCTTGCTCTGTCACCCAGGCTGGAGTGCAGTGGCGTGATCTCGGCTCACTGCAACCTCTGCCTCCCAGGCACAAGTGATTCTCTTGCTTCAGCCACCTAGTAGCTGGGATTACAGGTGCCTGCCACCACGTGCGTCTAATTGTTGTATTTTTAGTAGAGATGGGGTTTCACCATTTTGGCCAGGCAACCTCTGCCTCCTTGAGTCAAGAAATTCTACTGACTCAGCCTCCCAAGTAGCTGGGATTACAGGTGAGCACCACAATGCCAAGCACATTTTTGTATTTTTAGTAGAGACGAGGTTTCACCATGTCTGCCAGGCTGGCCTTGAACTCCTGACCTCAAGTGATCTGCCTCGGCCTCCCAACGTGGTGAGAATACAGGCATGAGCCACCAGGCCCACAGCTTTATTTCTTACATCACTTTCCACCGAGCAGCATCTGTTGCAGAGGAAGCACTGAACCAATAATCACGGACAGAGCCCGCCCGAGTAATCAGTTGTTTAAAGATCTTAATTGTATACATGTAGCTTGAGACACCAGACAAGCAAACTAGATGATCAGAAATCCTGGCCAAATGTAAAGCATATCTAGAATGATTGTTGAGGAAGGTGATGATAAATACCAATTTTGGTTTAGAGGTGAGCTATGGCAGCGAGAACTGTAGCTTATCTAACTACTCTTCATTTTTTTTTCCTTTTATAAGGTTATTTTAGAAATTATAACCAGCCATCACCTGGAAGAATCAGTGTCCTTAATGTCAACATGAAGTATCACCAGTAGATCTTAGTGGTTCAAGGGGTAGATTGTAGCAGACACTATCAGTGCCTTATCTACACTACTTTGTACCTATTTTTTTCAACCATATTATGGGCTTCTTATTGCAAACACCAGTGACTGTTAGCCGGTGGGCTTTGCTCAGCCCATGCATGAGATAGGTCTGGAGTATCAGAGTATTAATATCCTCAGAAGAAGTCCTCAATTGTGAACCCCAGCCTCTTCATGCTTAAGGTGGGGAAACTCACAGGGTTTGTCTAATCAGTCCCAGATGTCCTTGGCATGAGTAAGCCTTACTTGACATAATGATAACTTGCTTTTCCATGCAACCTGTCTTAGCGCTCTTCCCTGCCCTGTCTCACTTCTAGACTCTACTTTTAGATCTTTCAAATATCACTTTCAAAGTAAATTACTTTTATTTAAATTTTATTTTAGGGCATGTTTCTGGGAGATCTCCTCTCATAATGGAAATTTTTGACCATATCTATCTGAGAGAATGGGGTAAATTTTGAAAGATAGCTTACACTTTCAGTACTCCATATGTTAATATAAAATTTAAATTTTAAAATTTATCTGTATTTAAATAACAAAATTTCCACAGATTACATTGCAATCAGTACAGATTCTTTATACAATTAATTATATTCAATGTAAGAAAATACACTTTGAAAAATATAACCAGTAGATTCATGTCATTTTCTGTCTAAAGATTATAAATTTTTTTTCCAGTTTAGTTGAAATCCCACTACCTGGGATTTTCTTATAAATCTACAACATTTTCTGTGTATTCTATAGGGTATGCATCACCATCTCAATTGTAGCTATGGGTATCATAAAAAATCATAAGTAAAACATAATACTAAAAGTATGACTGTTGATCAATGAAATTGATAAGCCTTGAGCCCTGCTAAGGAAGAAAAAGAGTAAAGACCCAAATTATTAATATCAGAATTGAAGAAAGGGCTAACGAAACTGATCCTCACGGACATTAAAAGGATAATAAAGAAATATTATGAGCAACTCTCTGCCTTACAATTTGATAGCTTAGATGAAATAAATTTTTGAAAGACAAAATCTACCAAAACTCACACAATGACATAGAGATCCTCTGAATAAATGAACCTATATATATTTTAAAGAAACTGAATCATTAATTAATAACCTTTTCAAACAGAAAGTACCAGTCCCAGAATTGTTCACTTGGGAGTTCTATCAATCATTAATGAAAGAAATGATAATAATTTTCTACAATCTTCTCCATAGAATAGAAGCAGAGACAACACTTCATAATTATTTCTGTAAGGCCAGTATTACTATAATTCCAAACCCAGACAAAGACATTACAAGAATAGAAAGCTACAGACCATATTTCTCATGAACATAAGTGCAAAAATCTTCAAAAATTTATTAGCAAATCAAAGTTATCAGTGCATTAAAGATTATACACTAAGACCAAATGAGATTTATTCCAGAGATGCAAAACTTGTTCAACATTTGAAAATCAATTAATGTGTAATCCATCATATCAACAGGCTAAGAGGAAAAATCATATGTTTGTACCAATAGATGCAGAAAAATTATTTCACTCATCCATGATAAATGCTGTCAGTAAATTAGGACTAGAGGAAGTATCCCTCAAATCGATAAATAATATCATCTACCAAAAAAGTAGAGCTAACAGCATACATCTATTCAACATTGTACTGAAGTTCTGCCTAATGCAATAAGAAAAGAGTAAATAAAAGTTAAGTATTATATACAGTTTAGGAAAGAAAAATAAAGCTGGCTTTGCTTGCAGATGACATGACAGTCTATATAAAAAATCCTGAAGAATGCACAACAACAAAACTGCTTGAACTAATAAGAAATTATAGCAAGGTTGTAGGATGCAAGGTTAGTATACAAAGTCAATTGCTTTCTTAAATTTTAGTAATGAGCAATTAAAATTTTCTTAAGACATTTTTTTCCAAGTGGTGTTAGACTCGCAGAAAAAAAATCAGAAGGAAATACAGAGATTTCCCATATAACCCTGTCCCCACACATGCATAGCTTACTCTATTATCCCCACTAGGATGGTACATCTTCTACAATTGATATACCTACATTAACACATCATAATCACCCCATGTCCATAGTTGAATTTAGAGTTTACTCTTGGTTTTATAGATTCTATAGGTGTGGATACCAGCATTTGGTGGTGTTAGTGTTCTAGGTTTTGGTACCTACCATTCTAATGGATGTGTAGTGTTATCTCAAAGTTGTTTAAATTTTCATTTTCTGATGACATAGGGTATAAAGCATGTTTTTATGAGCTTACTAATCATCTGTATGTCTTTTTGGGTCAGGTGTCTCTTAAGATCTTTGGCCCAGTTTTAATCAGGTAGCTTGTTTTCTTATTTTGAGTTAAGAGTTCATCGTATATGAATATCTTATCAGATGTGTGTTTTGCAAACGCTTTCTTCCAGTCTGTAGCTTGTCTTTTTATTCTCATGACATGGTCATTCACAGAGCATAAATTTCAGATGTTTATAATAAAGTGCAGTTTATCAATTTTTTTTCATAGATTGTGCTTCTGGTGTTGTAGCTAGAAATTTATCACCATGCCAAGGGTCATCTAAGTTTTCTCTTATGTTAGCTTCTAGGAGTTTTATAGTTTTGCATTTTACATTTAGTTTGTAATCCATTTTGAGTTAGTTTTATAATGAGTGTAATGTCTATGTCTAGATTAATTTTGTTTAGCATATGGATATCCAGTTGCTCCAGCATTACTTGTTGAAAATACTATATTTGTTTTACTGTACTGCCTTTGCTCTTTTGTTAAAGAACAGTTGGTCTATTTCTGTGCTTTCTATTCTGTTTTGAGATCTATTTATCTATTAATTTGTCAATATCACACTATCTTCATGACTGCAGATTTATAATAAGTTTAATGTTGAGTAATGTCAATCCTCCAACTTTGTTCTTCTCCTTCAATGTTGTGTTGGCTATTCTGGGTATTTTGCCTTTCAATAAACTTCAGAATTAATTTATTGACATCCACAAAATAACTCTTTGGAGTTTTGATTGAGATTACATTGAATCTGTAGATCAAGATGGGAAGAACTGATGTCTTGACAATTTGAGTCTTTTTGTCCAAGAACATATAATATATTTTTAAATATTTAGTTTGTCTTTGATTACACTCATCAGAGTTAATGGTTATCTTCATATATGTGTTATACATATTTTGTTAGATTTATACCTAAGTATTTTATTTTGGGGGCTGCTAATTTTAAATAGTATTGGGTGTGTAATTCAAATTCCACTTACATATTGCCAGTATATATAAAAGTGGTTGACTTTTTAATGTTAACCTTTTATCCTGCAATCTTATTATAATTATTATTTCTAGGAGAATTTTTTGTTGATTCTTTAGGATTTTCTACATAGACAAATATGTTAACTGTGGACAAAGATGTTTTATTCATCCTTTCTACTCTGTATACCTTATGTTTTTCTTTTCTTGTCTTATTGTATTAGTTAGAAATTTCAATGATCTTTTAAAAAAGTGGCCGGGGGGGACGTTTTTTTTTCGTACCTGATCTTAATGAGAAAGCATTTAGTTTCTTACTATCTTGGTCCATTCAGGCTTCTAGAACAAAATCCCATAAAATTCTATAGCAAAATGCCAAAGCACGTAGCTAATGAACAACAGAAATTTATTTCCCACACTTCTGGAAGTGGTAAGCCTAAGATGAAAACATCAGCAGATTTTGTGTTTGGTGATGGGCCACTTTCTGATTCATAGATGGTACCTTGTCACTGTGTTCTCACATGGTAGAAGGGATGAGAGGACTCCCTTGGGCTTCTTTTATAAGGGAACTAATCCTATTTATGAAGACTCAGCCCTCATGACCTAATAACTTTCCAAAGGCCCTGCCTCCCAATATCGTTACCTCAGGAATTAGGATTTCAATGTACAAATTTTTGGAGGTCATGAGTATTTGGTCCATTGTACTCAGCTTTAAGTATGATGTTAGCTGTAGAATTATTTTTGGAGATACTATTTGTCAAGTTTTCAAACTTCCCCTCCATTTCTAGTTTCCTGAGTGTTTTCACCATAAACCATTGTCAGATTTTGTGAAATACTTTTTCTGCATCTATTGACATGATCAGAATAATGAAAATTTGAAATTTAAACATAACACCATTTACATTAGCACCAACAAATAATATAATAGGTATAAGTCTAACAAAATGTGTACCAGTTTTCAATGAGGAAAACTACAAGACTCTGATGAAAGAATCACAGAATACCTAAATTAATAAAAAGATATTGCATGCACATAGATAGTAAGATTCAATATTGTTAATAAGTTAGTTATTTCCATCCTGACCCACGAATTCCAGGAATCCCTACTCATAATTCCAGCACATTAGTTTGTAGACATTGATAAACTGATCCTACAATTTATATGGAAGCAAAAGTCTAAAAATAGCCAAGATGATAGTGAAGAAGAGCAAAGTTTGAGGACTAAAGCTACTGTACTTCAGTTTTGTTATAAAACTATTGTAATTAAGACTGTGTTGCATTGGCAAAAAAAATAAATAAATAAGTAAACAAATAGATCAATGGAATAGAACAAATAGCCACAAAATAAACTCAAATAAATATAGTCAACCAATCTTTGACAAAGAAGCAAAAGTGATCAATAACGAAAAACTAATCTTTTTATCAAATGATGCTGAAACAACTGGACATCCACATGCAAAAAAAAAAAAAGAATCTAAACATGGACATTAAAACTTTCATTACAATTAACTCAAAGTAGCCTGGGCACGGTGTCTCACACCTGTAATCCCAGCACTTTGGGAGGCCGAGGTGGGAGGATCGCCTGAGGTCAGGAGTTCGAGACCAGCCTGGCCAACATAGTGAAACCCCGTCTCTACTAAAAATACAAAAATTTGCTGGGCATTGTGGTGCACACCTGTAATCCCAGCTACTCAGGAGGCTGAGGCAGTAGAATTGCTTGAATCTGAGAGGCAGAGGTTGCAGTGAACTGAGATTGTGACATTGCACTCCAGCCTGAGCGACAAGAGCAAAACTCCATCTCACATAATAATAATAATAAAAGTAATGAATCTAATTTGGCTCAATAATTGTAACAAATACACAACACTAAAACTTCTCAAAAATAGTATATTAATTTTAAAATGTGACAAAAAAAACTTTTGGGACTGATGACTATGCCAATTTTCATGATTGTGTTAATGGCTTCGTAGGTGTATACCTCTATCAAAATTTAGTGACAAAAAGAAATGAGCCATCAAGCCACAAAAATACACAAAGTAACCTTAAATTCATATTAATAAGTGAAAGAAGCCAATCTGAGAAGTACTTAGTGTACCATTCCAGGGCTACATAATGTATGATATTCTGGGAAAGGTGAAGTTATAGACAATAAAAATATCCATAGTTGCCAGGGGTTGAGAGGTTGAGAGAGAGGGATGAATAGATTAAGTCAGGGAGTTTTAAGAGCAATAACACTCTATGTACTGTGTATAACACTGTAATAAAAATTTGAATTTTTAATGATACTGTTTTGGCGGCTATGTGATATTATGTATTTGGCAAAACCCATAGATGTGTTACAACACAAAGAGTGAACCGTAATGGAAGCTATAGATATTAGTTATAACATCTATAGTGTCAGTACTTTTTTTTTTTTTTTTTTTTGCCAGAGTCTTGCTCTGTTGCCCAGGCTGGAGTGCAGTGACATGATCTTGGCTCACTGCAACTTCCGCCTCCCAGTTCAAGCAATTCTCCTGCCTCAGCCTCCCAAGTAGTTGGGACTACAGGTCTGCACCACCACACCTGGCTAATTTTTGTATTTTTAGTAGAGACAGGGTTTCACCATGTTGATCAGTCTGGTCTCGAACTCCTAACCTCAGGTGATCCGCCCACCTCGGCTTCCCAAAGTGCTGAGATTACAGGCGTGAGCTACCGGGCCCGCCCGTCCACTATTGTTTCAATTGTAACAAATGTGTCACACCAATGCAAGGTATCAATGATAGGGAAAACTAAGGGCAGTAGGACAGAAAGTATATGGAACTCTTTCTACTTTCTGCCCAATTTTTCTTTAACCCTGAAACTGATCTGAAAAAAAAAAGTTTATTGATTTTTTTAAAGAAAAGTAGATATGAAAGAGTAATCAAAACTAATCTTAGTTTTGTTTTTTTTTTCTTGTTGTTCTTTTTTGAAGGAGTCAAAAACAGGCATTTTGTTTTTTCATTATAAACCACAAAATTTATTATTTCCATGACTTATTTTGTCAAGTTAGTCATAGAACACTTCATTTCAAACATTGCAGAAAATAATAAACTTTGTTCATGAATACTGTTTATTATTTCATTTTTAAGTTAGTAAAATGAAATAATATGTTAGGCTGTGCTCTTGGCAAATTACTGCAATGGACAGATGGTTTTTTATTATCTATTACACAGAACTAGAAGGACGATGACAGTGTGTTTGGTAGGGATGCTTATTCATCTGTGATAGAGTAATTTTTGAGCTGCTTGGCCAGAGCACATCCTAAATCTTCCTCTCTTCCCTTGCCTCTGCAAAAACATCTGCCTATGGCCATTTTCACGATATTGATTCTTCCTACCCATGAGCATGGAATGTTCTTCCATTTGTTTGTGTCCTCTTTTATTTCCTTGAGCAGTGGTTTGTAGTTCTCCTTGAAGAGGTCCTTCACATCCCTTGTAAGTTGGATTCCTAGGTATTTTATTCTCTTTGAAGCAATTGTGAATGGGAGTTCACCCATGATTTGGCTCTCTGTTTGTCTGTTGTTGGTGTATAAGAATGCTTGTGATTTTTGTACATTGATTTTGTATCCTGAGACTTTGCTGAAGTTGCTTATCAGCTTAAGGAGATTTTGGGCTGAGACGATGGGGTTTTCTAGATAAACAATCATGTCGTCTGCAAACAGGGACAATTTGACTTCCTCTTTTCCTAATTTAATACCCTTTATTTCCTTCTCCTGCCTGATTGCCCTGGCCAGAACTTCCAACACTATGTTGAATAGGAGCGGTGAGAGAGGGCATCCCTGTCTTGTGCCAGTTTTCAAAGGGAATGCTTCCAGTTTTTGCCCATTCAGTATGATATTGGCTGTGGGTTTGTCATAGATAGCTCTTATTATTTTGAAATACGTCCCATCAATACCTAATTTATTGAGAGTTTTTAGCATGAAGGGTTGTTGAATTTTGTCAAAGGCTTTTTCTGCATCTATTGAGATAATCATGTGGTTTTTGTCTTTGACTCTGTTTATATGCTGGATTACATTTATTGATTTGTGTATATTGAACCAGCCTTGCATCCCAGGGATGAAGCCCACTTGATCATGGTGGATAAGCTTTTTGATGTGCTGCTGTATTCAGTTTGCCAGTATTTTATTGAGGATTTTTGCATCAATGTTCATCAAGGATATTTGTCTAAAATTCTCTTTTTTGGTTGTGTCTCTGCCCGGCTTTGGCATCAGAAGGTAATTTACAGATTCAATGCCATCCCCATCAAGCTACCAATGACTTTCTTCACAGAATTGGAAAAAACTACTTTAAAGTTCATATGGAACCAAAAAAGAGCCCGCATTGCCAAGTCAATCCTAAGCCAAAAGAACACAGCTGGAGGCATCACACTACCTGACTTCAAACTATACTACAAGGCTACAGTAACCAAAACAGCATGGTACTGGTACCAAAACAGAGATATAGATCAATGGAACAGAACAGAGCCCTCAGAAATAATGCCGCATATCTACAACTATCTGATCTTTGACAAAACTGAGAAAAACAAGCAATGGGGAAAGGATTCCCTATTTAATAAATGGTGCTGGGAAAACTGGCTAGCCATATGTAGAAAGCTGAAACTGGATCCCTTCCTTACACCTTATACAAAAATCAATTCAAGATGGATTAAAGATTTAAACGTTAAACCTAAAACCATAAAAACCCTAGAAGAAAACCTAGGCATTACCATTCAGGACATAGGCGTGGGCAAGGACTTCATGTCCAAAACACCAAAAGCAATGGCAACAAAAGACAAAATTGACAAATGGGATCTAATTAAACTCAAGAGCTTCTGCACAGCAAAAGAAACTACCATCAGAGTGAACAGGCAACCTACAACATGGGAGAAAATTTTTGCAACCTACTCATCTGACAAAGGGCTAATATCCAGAATCTACAATGAACTCAAACAAATTTACAAGAAAAAAACAAACAACCCCATCAAAAAGTGAGCAAAGGACATGAACAGACACTTCTCAAAAGAAGACATTTATGCAGCCAAAAAACACATGAAGAAATGCTCATCATCACTGGCCATCAGAGAAATGCAAATCAAAACCACTATGAGATATCATCTCACACCAGTTAGAATGGCAATCATTAAAAAGTCAGGAAACAACAGGTGCTGGAGAGGATGCGGAGAAATAGGAACACTTTTACACTGTTGGTGGGACTGTAAACTAGTTCAACCATTGTGGAAGTCAGTGTGGCGATTCCTCAGGGATCTAGAACTAGAAATAACATTTGACCCAGCCATCCCATTACTGGGTATATACCCAAATGAGTATAAATCATGCTGCTATAAAGACACATGCACATGTATGTTTATTGCGGCACTATTCACAATAGCAAAGACTTGGAACCAACCCAAATGTCCAACAATGATAGACTGGATTAAGAAAATGTGGCACATATACACCATGGAATACTATGCAGCCATAAAAAATGATGAGTTCATATCCTTTGTAGGGACATGGATGAAATTGGAAACCATCATTCTCAGTAAACTATCGCAAGAACAAAAAAACCAAACACCGCATATTCTCACTCATAGGTGGGAATTGAACAATGAGATCACATGGACACAGGAAGGGGAATATCACACTCTGGGGACTGTGGTGGGGTCGGGGGAGGGGGGAGGGATAGCATTGGGAGATACACCTAATGCTAGATGACACATTAGTGGGTGCAGCGCACCAGCATGGCACATGTATACATATGTAACTAACCTGCACAATGTGCACATGTACCCTAAAACTTAGAGTATAATAAAAAAAAAAAAAAAAAATTGGAAACTTTCCAAAAAAAAAAAAAAATCTGCCTAAAACAACGTGTGTGTGTGTGTGTGTGTGTGTGTGTATGTGTGTGTATGTGTTTAGGAAGATACTTTCCATCGTGTGTGTGTGTGTGTGTGTGTGTGTGTGTGTGTGTGTGTATGTGTTTAGGAAGATACTTTCCATCTTGTGTCTTCCCAAAGGCAAAATCATATGAGTGTAAAGTGGGCTATTTAAAATAACTTTGAGGGTTATTTTTAAAGTGTATTCCTCTTTTTGCTTAAAATGTAAAATCTTATTTGGCACTTATTTTGCTTTGCTAGCATATGTTTCTAATGATCAACTTAGAAAAAGTAATTTCTCTTTGAAACAGCTTGTAATGGTAACAGTTGGTATACTAGCATGGTTATTTATCTAAATAGTGTATTTTATAGACAGAAAAAACCTTCAGTAAATAATACAATTTCATACTATATACTTTAAAAAGATAAACTTATCTTGTGCTTATTCTAAAGTAAAACATAATTTTTTATGTTTAATAAATGCTGTTTTCAAGAAATATTAATTTGCACAAATTTAACAACTCAGTAAATTAATTGCATTTAAAAATATACTGAGAATCTTATTTTGTTATGCAAAAGTGTGCTCCTTTAAGTTGAATATTATTTGTACCTTCAATTTGTTCTGTTTGACTTTTCTTTCTGCATTAATCCTTCTTAAGTAGTAATTACTGAAGCAGTAGACATATACATACAATCTAGTATTTGGAATACATGTAATAGCTTGATAAGTGATAACTACAAGAGTTATTTACAGTGTTTTTTCTCTTTTCCTCATGAATCTAAGTTTATTTTTCTTTTATCTGGTGCTTTCCCTGACAGATTTTCAAGGTTACAAAATTGGCTGCTTGAAGTCAGATGTATAGCAAAGGCCATTTGTCATGTTCACTTTCACATTAATAGGCCTTATCAAAGAAGAAAATCTGCTCAAACCTCTTAGAAAATTTCAAATGAATTCATTATGTAAGAATTGCCAGAAATCAGATTAAGCATGGGAAATTACCCTACAAAAAGTTCTGACTCAAGTTGTTTAAATTGTTTTTCTAATCTTCTAACTTGCCTACCTCTGTTTTTTGCATATAATCTGATCATATCCAAATAATGTAATTACGTGAACATCAAAGAGAGCCAAACATGCTAGCAGAATGATGTTTTAATTAACTTTTTATCAGAGAAGAGTCAAGTGCTTTCCAACAGTGGCATCCTTAGGTTATCAGATAATTTCCCAAATTCATTTCCATGAAATTAATGACAATAGATAAGTTTAATGCTCTCCAACTATCTAAACATGCCCAGATGATAATTTTAAAAATATTGGAAGTTAATTTCACCAAAATATTATATTTTTGAGTCATCAAAAAGAGTAACCTATAGCACCTAGGCATGTTTGTCTTGGATCAAGGAAAACCAGGGGAAATCAGGAGTTGATTCAAACAGTTAGGACCAGATGTAGGAAACCTCTCCTGGTAATGAATATCAAGGCAAATTTTAATTCACATTTAAAGTTAGTACTTAAGATAGTTTGCATCTTGAGCCATAATGAAATTAATTTTCTAGAACTTAGCATAAGAATGGTGGAGAGTGACAGAAAATAAAAATCCAAAGAGTGAGAAAAAATATTCTCTGTTAATCACATATAATCAGATTATATCGTCAGATAATATATTATGATATCTGTATGAAGTTTCTTTTACTTCTCTCTATTAAAATGCAAATCTGGATTAATAGAGAAATGACTTCTTACAAATTTTGGTGTCCTTATTAAATCTGATAGACATTGATAACAAGTCGAATCCCAAGATTTTTGTTTCACATTTACGTCAGTGGTATCAATTTTTGTATTAATGCAAGAATATGTATCCTTAAAAGGCAGATACTTATGTCTTAATAGGATTGCACTGAGCATGAGTTTCTGTGGTTAATGCACATTTACTTAAAACTTTAAAAATTAGGTTTTTGTCATCATTTTGAACTAGTAAAATTCACATCTTGAATTTTCCACTAAATCTTTTCTTCTACTCTATTTCTTATCTCTGTTGCACCATTATCCTCCATTCTGTATACAGCCATAACATTTCAAGTTATCATTGACTTTCTTTGCTATATAGTCAATTACAAAGTCCCATACATTTAAGTTTTTCTATCTTTCAAGCTCATTTTTTATTTCCAAGCCAATATTTATCTTCCTTCAACTGTCCAAAATCCCTTGTCAAATGTTGTGAAAACTTAGAGAAACTTCTGGTATTGAACTGTGTGTGCTTAAAATGTTAATATTCAAGATAAATATCTTTAATAATACTAAGTAAATACTATGTAATAAAGAAAACGTTGGTATTTTCCTTAAGTTTTGCTGTATTTCATGTGGATAAAATAAAAATGCACACATTGATGCTAAATATGTACTATTTTCATACAATGATCCAAATGCTTTCTACAAATTAGTTTAACTTACATGAAATCCCATAAAATTTAAAAGATTATTATCACAATTTTATAGATAAAGAACTTGAAATATAAATAAATGTAATATTACATTTCTAGATCCTATATAAAATATTCTGTATTTTCATAAACAAATATATTGCTGTAGTTAACATTGTTTCTATTACTCATAGCCACACATCATCAAGTAAAGTTTTCAGTCTGTAGCAGCATGTAATAGCTTTCATATTTTGCTGTGATGAACAACATATTTTCTCATAGATACAATTATAGCATATAGCCACCAATGTGGCTGAATAAGTTTATGATCAGTATATATGTATGTGTGTGTAAAAAAATAGTGAAATGAACAGAATATATGTAACTTTAGTAAAGTCTATAAATATGTTTGAGGTTATACTAAAATCTCTAAAGTCTAAGTGCATATTCTTTTGCAATATAAATTGCTGAATTAAAAATTTTTAATTGATACATTAAAAATTTCAGGCACAACTGAATTAACTGAATCTCATTATTAAATATTTCAGGAAGAATTATATTGAACTTTGCTTTTCTTTGAAATAAGGTAAATAATTCCTCATAACATATATAAAGCATTTGGACCACCATGTGGAAACAGTAAATATTAAAGGTATAACAGTTCCCATTTATTCACTCATTCTTTTCTCAGAAAGATTGACCTTCCTTTCTTTTGTCGTGTGATACAGCCTTCTCCAGTGGGAAGAGTATGCCTCCTTCCAGAATTAGTGCTGGGCTTCACCATGTAACTTGATTTAGCCAATGGCATGTGAGCAGAAGTGATAACTACGACAGCTTTTAGAGCCATAGCTGGTTTTTGCCTGCTCTCTTGCTTTTTCATCTTGTTACACTTGTAACCACTGATCTTTCAGTTAGGGCCTAAGAGAGAGGAAGACATATAGATAAGCTAAATAAACGTAGAAGCAAAGAACTGCAGCTTACTCTTAGCTGCCAAAAGGTGACATAAGTGAAAAATATCATTATTATTGTAAAGCTACTGAGAAATTTTGGAAGTTTTGTTATTCACCCTTGCCTGGGGAAGATTACAAATGCTCTTAGCTATTTTATGTGTTGTCTCAAAATTGTTGGGGCATTTCTCATGTGGCAGCATGCCGTAATCTCTTAAGAGTGAAATAATCCTGTAAATCTGATTACTTAAATAATCAAACTAAAATCATAGTAATACGCAATCTGGAAAAGAGGCCATGTTGTAAGGAAACTTTGGCCAAGGGCCAAAGGTATGGCTGCTTAGAAAGGGGTAACATAGAAAGCCTGAGGTTGCTGTCCTTATAAAGACCTGCTGGTGAAGTTGCCTTTTGTCTGGCATCTGGGAATCTGAATTTTGGGATATTTCCTACTATTCTCAGAACTAAAAAGAGTGGCTCACCCTGCCTAAAATACTTGTAAAAACAATATGGCTTATGCTGAACATCTAATTTCTTTCTGCAAGTCTGATATTTCATATGTGCTAGGAATAGGGTTTTATGTGACTAGACCCTAATAAAACTGTGGACATTGAGTCTCTACAACACATAGTGTCACAACATTTGTTGGAGGAATTAAGCATGCATTGTGTAACTCCAATAGGTGAATACTCTTTGTAAGCTGCACCTGTTTTCCTCCAGACTCTATCCTGCATCTATTCATGTTGCTGATTTTGCTTTGTATCTTTTCACCATAATTAGTAATAGCCATGAGTATGACTATATTCTAAGTCCTATGAATCCTCTTTGTGAATTATCAAACCTGGGTGTGGTCTTAACAGTCCCCACCACAACAATCATATTAATTATATTGAAATACATTAATTAAATATAACAATTAAAGAGCTGAGAGACTGGACAAATTTCAAAAAAACAAAATACATGCTTCCTACATAAGATATACTTGACATTTAACAACAAATTAAGAGCTAATTAATTTTATTAAGATGGAGTGATACTCCATCTTAATAAAAATGTATGTTAAAAATTGTTTAAGAAAATAATTAAAAACCAAGTAAATAAAATAAACATGTAACTCAGAAAATAGGAGAGTTTTCAAAAATAAAGAGGTTTTTATTTATGTAAAAGAGGTATAACTTACCTAAAAGAAAGGTATTACTTACACTAAAGATACTAATAAATTAAGACAGATAAAAATGAATGCTTTGAGAAATAAATGCTACAGTATGTTCTTTGGAAATAAAAGAAAGTCTAAATTGTTCATCTATTATTGAACAAGAAAACAATATATAATTCATAAAATACAAATTGAAAGTATAAAGCACACAATTAAACATGTCATATACACTTTACAAAATGCAACATATTTCACATTTTATGTGTGTTTCTTAAGAGAGCTATTTTATTTTTCCATATATATCATTTATTCAATTATTACACGATTAATAGATATGAAGATTATAATAGCAAAATAAACTACTATATACACTTTATATATAAACTTATATATTATATATATAGTTTACTTTGCTATTATTTTTAAAATTTTGTGCAAATATATCTACAAAATCTGTTCCTGGAAGTGAGATTGCTGAATCATAGGCTGTGAACATTTAAAGAACTGGTTGCTGGTGACTAGCTAACCCATTATCATCAATGGGTATATGGGTATATCCCCAAGTAAAATGTGTGGAGTACCTACTTATCTCATCTTTCTTTTCATCACTTTCTATGTCTTTTCCTATCTCACTGGGAAAATGTGTTACTTCATTAAATATTTACTTTGCAATAATTCAAATATCCTTTTTTACTTATTCTTTCTTAATTGGTGAGGTAATCTTCCATTCTACACTGTAATAATTCACTAAGCTGCATACTTATGACTTGTGTACATTTCCATATGAACATTTGTGAAATTTATCGATGTTGTGAAAAAGCTATAGTTTATTTATTCCATTGCCCCCTGGCATTACACAATCTACTTCTCCATTCTGCTATTTAATAACAGTTTTAATCTTCACTAAAATGCATTACTATGGGCGTATTCTTTCTTCTCATATTTCTTCTTAAATATTTCAAAGAGTGCAATTAAATTTCTAAATTAAAAATTATGTTAACTGCAATGGCCTGAACAATTGTGTCACCTTGGAATTTATATATTGAAATCCAAATCCCCAATGTGATCATTTTAGAAGATGAAGTCTTTGGAAAGAAATTACTTGGTATGGTGGTGCCCTCATGAATGTCACTAGTGCCTCTATTAAAAAAAAAAAAATAGAATTCTCGAGCCTTCTTTCTGCCACAAGAGGATACAATAAATATACAATGAGAAGTCTGCAATCTATAGTCCAGAAGAGGACCCTCAGCAGAACCTGACCATGCTGGTGCCCTGATCTCAGACTTCTAGCCTCTAGAACTCAGAAATAAATTCCTATTGTTTATAAGCCATGTAGTCTATGATGCTTTGTTATGGCAGCCAAAATTAAATAAGACAAAAACAGTTATTAGAATAACACACTTTTATTTATTACATGTTTATTCTCTCAATTATTGACACAATTGAGTATCTCTTTTTTATATTGGGGGTTTGCCATGATCACTATGCTAATATTTTATGGGTGTGGAATAGGAGAAACAGTAGCGGCCAGTGGATAAATAGTCTTCTCCTAGTTTTTACAAAGGTGACTAACTTCAGGCTACACAGGAATGACAATAGAAGAACTTTTCCTGACTCCAAATGGAAGATTTCAACAAACATTCTGTAGACATGGAATAGTAATTATGATAAATAAGAATAATAGCACAATTTTGGTTACAGCTTCAGGATAATGCTTCCCTGAGTACTATTAGATGATGGATATATATTCTGTCACTCAGTCAGCTACAAAACAGGCAGGTGAGTTGGTGAGACAGATTTCCTCCCTATTTCGAAGAGATTGACAGGATATATATTACTTCTCATCCAAGAAAAATAAAAATGTCATCAGATCATCCACATCCTGTCTTATTAATTTGCACTATTCCACAGTGTACCCTGGTACACTAGTATGTGCACATGTGTGCACTCGTGTGTGTGTATGTGTGTATATACAGACACACATATATATAGTTATCAATAAATGTTTCACTTCCAAAATTATTTAAAACATTTAGCTACTGACTGCATTCATCTGTTTTTCAAGATTACTTACTCCAATATTCTCACTCCAGATACTATTCCAACACTTTGCATCATCTAATTTACTGACACTACCAGTTTTTAAACTTCACCACACCTATCATTTTCTTCCTTTCTTCTTTACCCAACATAAAGACAGGGCTTCATCATTTTCTTTCCCTGCTCTACATTTCTTATACTTGCTGGGAAATTCTCTCATCTCTAATTTTAATGATTAAAACCAATTAATTTCCTCTTCAGCAACTGTATGCAAGAAGTATACAATTGGGAAAAATTGAAACAGCTGTGCTCACTGTTTTCATTTTATGTGAATGGAGATACTTATATATCTCATGCAATTTATAATTTCTACTAAGCAGTCCTCCTATTTTCCCCCTAGGTTATGAACTCTCAAATACTTCCAATATGAACGTTTTCTCTCATCAAACCTCTAACATCTCCTTGCCTCTTGCATCAAGCTGATACTCTGCCATCTATTTTACAGAAAAGGGAGTAACAGAAGAAAAAACTCACCTTTCTTCAAGAAATATTCCAACTGCTCTGCATCTGTGAACATGCTCTGCCTTCACTCCTGTCACTGAAGATCCTTCACTGCACAGCTCTTTACCTCTACTCAACGTGAGTCTCAATGTCTCTTTAGTTAATTGTATAATGGCCATAATCCTCCCAGAAATTTATGTTGATACTTCGTCACAATGTTAAAATAAATCATGGGTCTTGGTCATAACTTCAAGATAGTACTTGCCCAAGTTACTTATTAATTAGAAATGGAAAGATAGTAATATCAAAGAGCAGAAGTTACACACTACCTGAACTCAGCAAAACAAGTTAACCTCATCAGTAATGGGACAAATAGAAATCATGTGCTTCCTATCATTATGCTCAGAGAAGGATGAAATATTTCCTCTGGTAACCCTGCCAAAAATGTTTAACTTGAATTTAATCATAAAGAAACATCATACAAATATGTAAATAGAGGAACATCCCACAAATATCAAGGACATCAAAGACAACAAAAATCCAAGGAATTGTTCCAGATTATGGGAGATTAAAGAAATTTAACAACTCAGTGCAAGTTAAAATCTTGCCTTGGATCCAGGACCAGATTTTTGTCACTTATAGCAATGGAACAATAGGAAATATTTAAGTAAGGTCATTAAATAAGATACTAGTACTGTATCAATGCTGATACTACAGTTTTTATACTTACACTATAGTTAAATATAATCTTCATCTTTTTTCTTAAGAAAAAATATTGAACATAACAGTACAGATTTAAAACACTGTAAGATGGTAACAGAAAATTCAACAGGTTTTTGACTTGTTTGCTACAGTATGTGGAGGTACTGACCTGAAAAATACAGAAATTCACCATTCTGAATTATCTTGTATTTTATTTCAAATCCATTTAATTAACCTTTCAAACATATGGTTTTAAATATCCATGTCTTATATAGAAAACTGCTTGAAATATTTCTGTGTTACTTGAATAACCATTATGTGTATATGCATAAACCAGGAAAGGTCTAATTGCTATTTGCATGAATTATTTACAGCTAAGTGGCCCATGAAAAAAATGAGAGTCCATAAAAATGCTATTGTGTGCTAAAACCAATCTGTCTTGCTCATTTTAATTGTGAATGAGAATATCAGTTTATAGATTTTAGAAGCATAGGCTTATAAATGTTTCTCACAAACAAGAACAAAGGTTATAGAAGCAATCTGTCAACTAAATGCTTTAATAAACTTTCATACAGAATGCTTTATTTCCCCCAGAAAACTGGGTTTTCTGTTCCCAAAGGCGGATCACTAAGATGCCTCTTTTATTCTGTGTAACTAACTTATTATCATTTCAACTAATATAGTTGTAGTATGTATGTATGTATGTATGTATGTATGTATGTATGTATGTATGCATGCATGTACTGAGACAGAGTCTTGCTCTGTCGCCCAGGCTGGAGTTCAGTGGCACGATTTCAGCTGACTGCAACTTCTGCCACCTGAGTTTAAATGATTCTTCTGCCTCAGCCTCATGAGTAGCTGGGACTACAGGAGCGCGCCACCATGCCTGGCTAATTTTTGTATTTTTAGTGGAGACAGGGATTCCCGATGTTTAACAGACTGATCTGGAACACCTGATGTCAGGTGATCCGCCCGCCTCTGCCTCCCAAAGTGCTGGGATTACAGGCCTGAGCCACCGTGCCTGGCCTGTTGTAGCATTTCAACAGATCTAACATGGTGACCGCCATGGAGTTGATTTGTTGTTGTTGTTTTCAATCATTTGTATGGCATATATATTCAGGGCATTTAAAAATAGAAGTTTCTAGGTTGGTGAGCACATGAAGGTTCTGGAAGGGTGGCATGCCCTGAGAGGGCATGAAAGCTCTATGCCCCTTCCCACATACCTTGCCCTGTGCATCTCTCCCATTTGACTGTTCCTGAGTTGTGTCCTTTATAATAAGTCATGACAAATCAAGTGTCTTAACTCCTTTTCATAATGCTTTGGAACTTGCAATACGTCTGAGAGAAATTCAACATGTCTGTCTGTATGAAATTGGTTGGTGCCAAATGGTAAAGCTGAATTGCAAGGATAAATTTGATTCCTTAGAGAGGCTGAAAAAAAATAAAGGGTTCAGACAGTCCCAGTGCTATCTGCCTGTTTAACTGCAGTTTGTCAGGAATCCACTGGTGATGTGGGAGGCACAGTTTGTCTTTAAAGAAGTTCACAAACTCTTCAAAAGGAAAAACAACCAAATTGAACAGTTCTCTGTGAAAAAGTCAGAGGGAGTTTGGAAACAAACCTTAACCAAACTGCCCTGTGTGCTGGCATCTACTGAAGTGTTATACTTATAGAAAGCCCTTCCAAACTGTTCTGTTCCCAACCTATAGAGGAATTAGTCAAATTTCGCCAGTGAGTGGATAATTCATCTATTGGATTAAAGTATTTGCTTCTTGGTGCCATACATAAATCTCTAGGAAACTCAGAAGATGTTGTTCAGTTATTTCAGTAAGCAATTAAAGATGAGTTGTGTCGTCAGTATAACTTATATGTTCAACTGTATGCTTGCTGTGAACTTGGCTATTTTCTATTAGTGAAAGCAGAGACTAGAGAG